>NC_000022.11:33861079-34012594 GCF_000001405.40 Homo sapiens
GCAGCCTCTGCCTCGAACACCTCTCTTCTTCCTCCTTTTCTTCCACCCCCCTTATTCCCATCTGTGCGGCAAGGAAAAGGTCAGTAAGCACAGCCCTATCTTGGTATTCTCTCCAAAGCTCCACATTAAAGGAAAACTGACATCTGAGAGGAGGTAACAGCTAACTCGTTTTTCTCTTCGTTAACTTGGTGGCCGAGTACAGCCACCACCTGGGCTAAGCATGCCAGCCTTTGCTAACACCCATTCTGCAAAAGGACCAAGCACTGCAACTCGGCTAGCTGTTCCTCACTCCCACTCCTCACCCACCTACACACACACACAAACACACACACACACACACACCCTTAGCCTACAATTTACAGCAACAACAAGAAATCATAACAGCGAATGTAGCATATTGCCATAGAACAAGCCATGGAATTTGCACAAGATCCCTTGGACAAGCAATTAACCTCACTAAGCCTCAGGCTCCTCACCCACAGAATGGCCACGCAGACACGCCTGGCCTCTCCATGCTGCCATGAGGATCCTTGACTGTCAAATCTGGAGAACTCTCCTACGCAGCATTTGGTGCCACTCCTCAGTCCTGCCCCCCAGCACTTCGCGCCAGCCCCAGGAGATCTTGCACCCGCAAATAAATGCTTTCACTGGGATTATGCAACTCACTTCTGCTCACCACCCTTCGGCCAGAATGAGCCACATGGCCCTAGAAAAGGGCAGGGAAGGTGACCATTCCTATGTCCTCAGTAGAAGAAAAGTGGATTTTGGGACCCAGACATTCTTTTTTTTTTTTTTTTTTTTTGAGACAAGGTCTCACTCTGTCACCCAGGCTGGAGTGGCATGATCTCAGCTCACTGCAACCTCTGTCTCCTGGGTTCAAGCAATTCTCATGCCTCAGCCTCCCGAGTAGCTGGGATTACAGGCACGCGCCACCATGCCCGGCTCATTTTTTTGTATATTTAGTAGACAGAGGGTCTCACCATGTTGGCCAGGCTGGTCTTGAACTCCTGACCTCAAATGATCCACCTGCCTCACCTTCCCAAAGTGCTGGGATTACAGGCATGAGCCACCGTGCCCGGCAGGAACCAGATGTTTCTAACACAGACAAATCCTCTGTCCTCGAGAGCTCACGGCAAGTGGTGAAGACAAGCTACACAAACCCCTGGGAAGAAAACATCATGGAAAAGGCTGCCAAAGATCCTGTAAGCTGCCATGGGAGCAAAGGAAGACTCTGTTCGGCCCACCTGGGAGCCTTCGACAGAGGTGTGTGTGACATCAGGGAAGCCTTCCTGGGGGAGGTTATATCCGAACATCTTGAACAATACAGGCGATCTTCTCAGGGAAGAGGATTGACGGCAGTCGCTGAGCAAAGAGGCTCCTGGCCTTGATCAACACTACAATTTCGTCTTTTCCAGTGCTGTGGCCTGGGCTCCTTCCTAACTGTATCATAAACCCACTCTGAGTGGGTGTACCTGACACTGTGACCGCCAGGGCCGAATCACCAGGAACGCAGGAAGCTGAGGGCCAGCCGGACACCTGGGTCCCAAGAGAAACAGTGTGGGGACACAGAGGCTAGATAGGCCTGGGTTCAAATCCCAGCTCTGTCACGTGTCCTCGGGGGCCACCATGACGTTCGTTTGTGGGCTTGGTGTTATAAAACATAAGTTCTTCTTGTGAGAGCTGTGTTTTCATTGACCTAACAAATCTATTAACACAAAAAGGGCAGTCCATGGTCAAAATTTTTTATCAGAGGTCAAAAGAGTCAAAACAATATTGATGATTGATGTTCCTACTATACCTACATATTAGTATCTATCAGAGGTAGCACGCACCGAGTCCTCACCAAGGGCCTGGCCAATTTCTAGTCTATTATTATTATTGTTGTTATTATTATACTCTTTCACGGATGAGAAAATTAAGGCACAGAAGTCAATTAAGCTGTCCGAGAGCATAGGAATGTGTTGCAGAAAGCGGTTTGCCTCCATACTGAGCCCAGCAGGGAACTCACCGTTCCCACTTCTCACACAGCACCGTGGCACACAGGAACACGGGAGCCGACAGTTTAGGGTTCAAGTCTCAGCTTTGCCACTCAGTCACTCCTTTATCTCGGGCGTGCCACCTCTGCAAGCCTCACTTCCCTCATTTCTGAAATGGAGGTTAATCCAACCTCATCAGGTAATTGAGGCAAAGCATTTGCCATGGAGAAGCACTCAATAATGCTGTTGTCTTTATTTCCTTTAGCAGTCAAGAGGGTGGGGTCCCTGCCGTCTCGGCTTGCCCAACAGTCTCCTGCCTCACGATGGGGCCAGGGGATGGCTGACAATGCCTGGTCAATCCCATCCCCATTTCTAGAAGACCCTGTAAGTTCAGGTAAACTTTATTAGAAATACAAAGGAGGAGCCAGGCCCAGTGGCTCATGCCTGTAATCCCAACACTGGGAGGCCGAGGTGGGCGGATCACAAGGTCAGGAGTTCGAGACCAGCCTGACCAACATGGTGAAACCCCCGTCTCTACCAAAAAAAAAAAAAAAATGCAAAAATTAGCTGGATGTGGTGACGCATGCCTATAATCCCAGTTACTCAGGAGGCTGAAGCAGGAGAATCACTTGAACCCAGGAGGCGGAGGTTGCAGTGAGCCGACATTGCGCCATTGCACTCCAGCCTGGATGACAGAGCGAGACTCTGTCTCAGAAAAAAAAAAAATGAAAGGAGATAGGAGTACTTTTATTTTCAAAAAATTGAAAACTGTGGTTCCTGAACTGGAAGACACTAAAAGTAACCCAGGGTTTTGAGGAGGCCAATGTCTGGGGCCTGCTCCCATTGGACTGCAGTTTCACTTGAAGGCAAAGTCATTATATGGCATCCCACATCTGTTAATCTGGCCTAACTAACGCCTCCCATGTTTCCAGGTGAATGTGAGGCATATGGAGCTATGACAAGCATCACAGAAGTTCCAACTCCAGTGAGGGGTGCAGCTCCCCTTTCTTCTTCCATTGCCTGGCAATGGTTTGTACAGAACCTACCAGGCAGGTAGAGTCTTGACCTGACAGAGACAGGAGGAAGCTGGGAGGCAGGAAAGGTCAAGAAGACCCTTCAGACCACTGATGACCATTAAGGTTCCTTGTAGGTTTAAGGGGCTCTCATTTACTTCAATAATCCTGGAGCCCCCATCAGTGCCTACCATGGAGCTAGGACCCAGCAAAGACATGGAGGCCCCTATGTTCAGGAAGGTTATTTACAATAAAGATGCAATAAAGTGCTATGCTGATATAAATAAATAGCCCAAAGCACAATACAGATACTAAGTACATACATGATAAAGACAAGAAGGGAACTTAAGAAACCAATGCTGGCTTCGTGTTGCTGGGGAAAGCTACATAGGCAAGGTGCAGGTGGCCTTGGAGTGGAGAGCGCCTAAGTCTTCTTCCTTTACTTGTTTCAAAAATGCATGCTTCTGTACATTTTACCAGGCAAGACTGTAAGCTCCTTGAGGGTAGGGATGGTGCCCTGTTTACCACACTATCCCCAGTACCATGCATAGAATAGAGACTCAAATGCTGGACTGATGGATGGATGAATGGATAGATGGGCAGAAGGATAGTCAGGGCTGCATCACTGCCTTGAGACAGCAGCAGAAGACATATAGATTTAAGTGGCCAAAGCCCACAGAACAGGGCTTTCCCCAGAGGCCCGTGGCCACATTTTTCCTCTTCCTACTTTCAGAATCTACAGCACTTTTAGCCCACAGTCCCTGGGTTTCACAATCACTGCCTATATTTGGACTGTACTCCTGATGTGGCCTTATCCTGCAGGCCTCTATCTCTCGCTCACTCTCTCACATGTCTCTCTCGATCACCTTTAACCTACTTCTGCTCCTGACCTGGATCCCTGGCCCACCCACAGGTTGGTTCGCAGTTTCTGAAAGAGTCACAGCCGTGGGTGTCAGGCCCAGCCCAGCAGACAGAACACGTTTGGATGCACTGTTATCATAAAGTACTGCTGACTTCTACTGTGGAACAGAATTCAGTGACCTCTGCTTCCACGTCTGTGCAGGACAAGCTCCCTCTGCTTTTGCTCCATAGCCCCAAGTCTAGCCCAGAACCTACTCCCCTTCACCCATCTTCAAGAAGGGAAGGCACAGCTGGGAGCCGTAAAATGCCACTATACCCATGAGCTGCAACCATTTGTTCCCTCCAGCAAGACTGCAGATAATTTCAGCCGGACCTTCTCTTCTTCTCACTCTGACCTCGAAGTAGATTTTGTTTCATCTGTTTGTTTTCATGACAGAACATCCTGGTAGGGAATATTGGCGTCTTTTTCTTTTCAAAGTGACACTGACACAACTCCACTTTGTGCAAATAAATGTTTTCAACCTAAATGAGTCATTTGGTGGGAACAGTGAGTTCGCAAGCCTGCATATAGGTTGACCCCTTTACCAAGGAGGGTGGCAGGTAGCATTGTGTTTGGGGCTGACAAATATTATGAACAATGAGATCCTTTCCATGGTGATATCCCTTGCTGTACGCAGGGAAAATAAGGATAAAAATAGGGTGATAGTTGAAAACTCTGGGCCAGGCAGAATGCATCCTTGGGGAGAATCCAGCTACACTAGTATCTTGCCATAAAATCTTGAGAGTAAAGGAGGTATTTAACTTCTGACTCTTGTTAATTCATTTGTGGTTGTCAGGATTTTAAATGTAAAACATTTAAAAAATACTCAGTATATAGTAAGCATTCAATGTTAGCTGTTATTCTTTTTTTTTTTTTTTTTTTTTTTTTTTTTTTTTTTTGACAGGGTCTCGCTCTGTCATCCAGGCTGGAGTCCAGTGGCATGATCTGAGTTCACTGCAACCTCTGCCTCCCAGGCTCAAGCAATCCTCCCATCTCAGCCTCCCAAGTAGCTGGGACTACAGATGCACACCACCATGCCCAGCTAATTTTTGTAATTTTAGTAGAGATAGGGTTTCACCATGTTGCCCAGGCTGGTCTCCAACTCCTGGGCTCAAGCAATCCTCCTGCCTCAGCCTCCGGCCTCAGCTCTGGGTAGGCCCAGAGTTAACTACCCCATGGTGGATGGATGTGGCCAACTCAGCTGCTGCCAGATGACACTCATAAATGATCATAAAGCAATCTGCCTCAGCCTCCTAAAGCACTGGGATTATAGGTATGAGCCACTGTACCCAGCCTGTTGTTCTTTAGAGACAGCATATAGGGGGCTGTTTTGCCCAGTATGGGAGTCACAACCCACATGTGGCTATTTAAATTTAATTAAAATTAAACAAAATTAAAAATTCAGTTCCTCAGTTGCACTAGCTACCTTTCAAGTACTCAGTAACTACCCATGTCTAGCGGTGACAACATCGGATGGTGCAGATGGAGAGCAGTTCCATCCTGCAGAAGGTTCTGTAAGACAGTGCTGATATGAAGGTGAAGGAGTAGCTTGAAGCTTGAGGGTCTGTGTGACCTTGGGTGAGTTACTTCACCTCTCTGTGCCTCATTTCCTCATTTGTAAAATGGGGATAATGTAGCTACATTATTCAGTCATAATAAGGATTATCTGCTCTGGAAGCACTCACAATAATGCTTATGATAATGGTAAACACACACCAGATGGAGCCCTAGAATGGACGACAGACACCCTTATGGTGCACGGTGGATTGCTGCGAGGATTAGAAAGACTTTTATAGAAAGCACCTCCCACAGGCCCAAACATAGCAGACACTCAGTCCATTCACTTTTTTTTTCAATAAATGTTCACAGAGCACCTACTATGGGTAGGCATTCTTCTAGGCACCAGAGACATAGAAATGAACAAAGGCCTTGCCCTCATGGAGCTTACAGTCTCACTAAAGGGGTTGATTATTGCTTACGCTAACAGGAACACCAACATGTCCAGCATATTACGTATTCTCAGCAATGAAAAAGAAATGCCAACCACAAAGCTACCCACAAAGGTGGCATCTGACAAAAAGGGCTCTAATGAATGAATGGATGGATGGATAGATGAATGAATGAGGGTGTGGGGAGGAGGCTCAATAATGCACAAGCAATGAACTGGGCTCTGGGTGGGCCCAGAGTTAATTACCCCACGGTGGATGGATGTGGCTAACTCAGCTGTTGCCAGGTGACACTCATAAATGATCATAAAGCAGTCTGTAAACAGTGTTATGTATAAAACCTTAATCATCATGAACAGGAATCTTAAGATCCAAATGCCTGGGATAAACATGGCCTTTGCACACATGCCCTCTGCCTTCTGTTCTGGACTCTGCTCTGACTCATCCTGTGGGCTGGGACTGTTCACTCAGCAGAGGGACCAAACAGCCTTTCACTGGCCCTGGACAAATGAAACCCCCTAAGAGGGAGGTGTCCCACTGCCCAGAAAACCCCTCCCCAGCCCTCGGACTCACCTGCCGGCCTGAGCAACGTGCCTTCTAGCGCTGGTTCTATTATTCACGACAAGGGGCTTTCCCAGGAGGCAGCAAGTGGCACTATGCTGCCTGCGTTTCTATTTCCAAAATCTGAAAGCTCTGTTTCATAGGTTTGCAGCTCCCTGACAGCTAAATGTCATGGGATGGAGCCACGTTGAATCACTGGATCTACTTCGCACCAGCAGGCTGGGCCTCAGAAAGTTATTTCAAGTCCTCTAGTCCCGATCGCTCCTTTTTTGTTTAGTAAGTAAAAATAGTGCATGCTTCACAACGTTGTTAGTAGGATTACATGAGAGAACTTAAATAAAGTGCCCAAGTCTTTGGTAGGACCTAGCTCATGTCCTACCTAGAACACCAAGATGGCTAGACAAGAAGAGGAGATGCAGCTCAAGTACCAGTTCGGTCACTATCTATCGGGGCCACCTGGTCTACCTGCGGCTTGCCCAATTCCCTCCTCATTCAAGAGGAGAGGGCCAAACCGGATCCAAGCAGCCTACCCTGTAATCTCTTGCAGCACACTACCCGCTCCATTTTCCCACAACCACGGTACATTTCATCCTGCTGAAAAGAATACAAAGCATATGAAAATTCAGTGCAAGAATTCATACCAGCAACCTCGTCCATCTGCATAAGACTTCGTTCCAAATGGTGACAACAGGCCCTGTGCTCATTACAGGTCTCACATGTGCATGGGTGTGTGGGAACAGCACCCTGTAATCCATGGGACTGAGAGGCAACTACCACAGCCGGCCTCGTCGGAAGCAGAAACACCTGAGAAACGCCAGGTTTGGAATGCTAGTTCTATGTGGCTTTTATACATGTACTAAAATTAAGAGCCAAGTTTTAGTGTAAAAATGCCTGTCTTGAATACCACACTTCGAGACGAGATGATGTCTAAGGGTCTTCCTGTATCTGATCTACAAGGATTCCTGCTAGGAGTTCACCTGGTGGGGAGGACAGGGCTGAAATGAGGTTAGGTGATGCTCCCCACGTGGCCTAAAACCATTACTGTCCCTCACTTCCCTCACCATCCCAGCCAGCATCTGCCACACCATGACCTCCTCTTGCCCATGGCCCTCCCTAACATGTCCTTAATTGTATTACAGGCAATTTCCACTCCCCTAACCAGGCAGATTCCTCCCATCAAAAACATTTCTGTGCCTCTTATTAAAAACTCCTTCATTTGATGCCCCTTTCTAGTGATTGCCCACGCCCTGGTCTGGTCAACCAGAAATCACCTATCATGTCAAATCCCAACTCATCATGCATTTACTGTATGTCTACCCCATGGCAGGCACAGCACACAGACTTGACAATGACCATGGCTGACCTTGAGGGGCTCAAAACTAAATGGAAAGGGGGTTGCAAGGTACACGGATTCACGGCAAAACTAAATGGGCAGCCACTAGTACTTCAACAGAATTCTAAGATGCCAGGCACTCAGGGCAGGACTGGCTGATTCCAAACGTGGGGTTGTGGAAAGAAGGGCCATGAACGAGGCTCCAAAAATGAGCAGAATGTAGACAGGGAGAGCAAAAGGGGGAAAGAAGGGAGACCCTTTCATTTGAAATCCAACTTTCTGAAGGGAGACCCTTTCATTTGAAATCCAACTTTCTGATCAATGCTCATCATTCTGGCCCTCTCTTACCCTTGGAGCCAGCTCCTTTGGATCCACTTAAGATTTCTACTGCATCCTCCTCTTGTCTGTCGGTTGGCTACTCCCTGCTTGATCTGACCCCTGCAGGCCTACTCACCTTCCCTACTCCCCAGGCCCTGACCCAAAACAACACTCTCAGAGTTGGCATTAAGTGTGGCAAGGCTAAAATTAGGACTGTTTCCATAGATATCTAGACTTCTCTGTAGCAAATGTGTTCAGCTCCCTCCCAAGTAGGGAAAAAAAAAGTATTCTCCATTCTGACTGCAAAGCAACCCAGGGGTCTGAAAAATCGAAGCCTCCTCACATCTGGATGCGCCTCTGGCTTCCCACCTCCATGGGAAGGAAAAGAGGAGCCTCCTCGGGTCTGTGCAGTGGTTTGCAGGGGTACTACAAAAGCCATTTGTCCTCACTGACGAGAAAACACCAGGCACAAAAGGAGGGGTAGCAACCGTGGGAAGCACTCGCATGTCCAGACCACCAGCACATAGGTGTGTACCCTCATGTCATCCTGGGAAGGGGGTCCCTTCTGGGAGGTGGTTCTCCTTTCTCCCCATTTCAGAGATGAGGCAATGCAGACCAGGAAAACTACATAATTCAGTGTTGCTGGAAGACGTGCCACATCACGGTGAAAAGATGGGAAATAGAAATTCAAAGATGTTCAGAGAACTGCCCAAAGCCACCCCACAAAGGGCCGTCATCAGGAGTATGGGGAAGTAAAAACAGAAACCGCTGATGTTGAAGGCACTGTTTTGTTAGAGGTTCTGGGTTCAATACTTCATGTGGAGTCTCGCATTTCACCCTAGTTATGAGTTGAATTGTGTATCCCCCAGAAAGATGTGTTGAAGTCCTAACCCCACTCAGAATGTGACCTTATTTGGAAACAAGTTCATTGCAGATATAATTCAGTTAAGATGAGGTCATAGTGGAGAAGGGTGGGCCCTTAACCCAGTCTGACTGGTGTCTTTATAACATGATGGCCATGTGATGAGACACACAGAAAGAGCTCCAGTGATGACAGGGGCTTAGAGGGACGCATCTACCAGCCAGAGTGCCAAAGAGAAGCTAGGCAGAGGCCAGGAAGGACACAGTTTCAGAGAGCATGGCCCTGCCAACACAAAACTGGTCTCTGGAATCAAGAGACATTATTGTCTCATTTCTGTTGTTTTGAGCCATCCAGTTTGTTATGGCAGCCTTCGGAAACTGATACAGTCCTCACCACAATTCTATGAAGACAAGTACTGACACAGTTGGGTTTTACACATGAAGTCACTAAATCTTCATTAACAACAAATACCAGTGACAGGTATCAACATGGTACCAAGTGCTTTACAGACAAACTCATTTTATTCCCACAACAACCCTAACCCCACAACATCCCCATGACTGTCTGTGTTGTTGTTGTTGTTGTTGTTGTTGTTGTTTGAGACCGTCTCGTTCTGTTGCCCAGGCTGGAGTACAGTAGCGCAATCTCGGCTCACTGCAACCTCTGCCTCCCGGGTTCCAGCGATTCTCCTGCCTCAACCTCCTGAGTAGCTGGGATTACAGGTGTGTACCAGCACACTCGTAAAATTTTTGTATTTTTAGTACAGACAGGGTTTCCCCATGTTGACCAGGCTGTCTTGAACTCCTGACCTCAGGTGATCCGTTCACCTTGGCCTCCCAAAGTGCTAGGATTACAGGCGTGAGCCACCGTGCCCGGCCTGTCCCATTTTAAAGGAGGGAAAACTGAGGCATACAGAGATTAAATCATTTGCATAAGGGCACAAGGCTTGTATGTGGTCTAATGTGGATTCAAACCCAGATCCAGAATCTGTGCTCTGACCCACTATAACCAGAACAGTGTCTGATCTAGAATTGAACTCAGAAGGTCTGGTGACACAGCCCACATCCCTAGCCTCTTTTAAAACTTTGTATTCCACCTGCTGATAGAATGCTCTGCACTCAGGAGCACCTTAAAACATTTATTTCATGGCACAAATAAATTAATTAGATAGGCAGTGGTTTCCATACATCCCATTAGCTCAAATTAACGTATATTTATATTCATTTTAAGGCTGACCCAGGTCTATAGCAGCAACAGAAATCAGAATAGGAATACCTGGGGTGTCTAGAGTACAAAGCAGACAGAGTAAAATAAAGCTCCTGTCTTACAAAGCTTTTATGTGCTAGGTCATTTCAGTAAGCATTTAATGAGCACATATTGTGTGCCAGCACTGTGTCAGGTAAGGGGGATACAAAAGACACAGACTCAGCCTGCCAGGTGCTCCATCTGGAAGGACATGGAAATGGCCAAATTACCATATATCCAGGTAAGTACCAGGACTAAAGTCAGAACACAGATGCTATTAGAGGACAGAAGAGAGGTATCAAAATCTGTCCAGGTAAATAACAGATGGCTTTAGAGCATCTGGAACCAGACCTTTACCCTTAATTTCAAGCTTCTTATTTTAAGGCTAATCTAAACACCACTACTACCAACCTCCTTCCCCTGCACATAAGCGTGCACGCACACACACACACATACTCCTCTGTCTTCCCTCATTCTCTTTTTTCTTTCTCTCTGCAACTTTTCACTGAAACACTTGATTTTTTCACTGCATGAACCACACCGGTGACCTACAGAACAAATGGCAATATTTAACTAATGATTACTAATCCATAATGAAGTAAATAGTTAATTGATGACCTTCAGAAAAAAAAAATTTAAGGTCAGAGGCTTGAAGAACTAAAGTCCATAGCTAACTAGCAATGTTCATTAGTGTTAATTGATCTAAACAGTCTCAGCACCAGGAAGTCAAGTCTATTTCTAAATCAGCAAAAAAAAAAAAAAAAGAAAAGAAAACAATATTGGGGAAAGGAATGAGGAACTAGGGTGGCAGGAGGTGGGAGTGATGGAGGGGGTTCCTTCGAGTTGAAGAACCTAAAATAGAGCATGCTCTGACGTCAACCTTTCAGCCAGTCACTCGCCCACCCACAGAGGCTGGTCACTCCACACACAGCACGCTGTCTTGACTGCCATGTGGCGGCGTGGCTTAGCAGTAAGAATGCAGACTCTGACGTGACACTGCCTTCATTATTTGCACTGTGAAATGGGCACGCCAGCATCCACTTCACAGAGTCATTCTCAGGTTGAGTGTACCAGAAGTGCTGAGAACCTTCCATGGCACAGAGCAGACACGCAGTAAATGCTATCTATTATTATTATTATTATTATTATTATTATTATTATTATTACTAGCACGATCTTTGCCATTAAAGAATTTAACACGGCTCCTAAGAAAATACACAGCAGCTGCTATCCATCGTCATCACCAGTGTCATCATCGCCATCCCCATCATCACCACCAACACCGCCACCCCCCCAGCGACACACTAGCTGTGGACACATCCTTTACGCCCTTGAACCTGAGTTTCTACAGCTATGAAGCAAGTCCCATGGAATTTACAGACCAAACGCTAAGTGTAGGGCTCCCTGGGAGCTGGTCTTATGGAGCACACTGGCAGGAAGAGCCAGAAACTGAGTGAATTTGGAGCACGGAAAAGAGCCATGGCCAGGCGCGGTGGCTCATGCCTGTAATCCCAGCACTTTGGGAGGCTGAGGCGGGTGGATGACCTGAGGTCAGGAGTTCGAGACCAGCCTGGCCAACATGGCAAAACCCTGTCTCTACTGAAAACACAAAAAAATAAGCTGGGTGTGGTGGCAGACACCTGTAATCCCAGCTACTCGGGAGGCTGAGGCAGGAGAATTGCCTGAACCCATGAGGTGGAGGTTACAGTGAACCGAGATTGCACCACTGCACTCCAGCTTGGGTGCCAAGAGCAAAATTCTGTCTCAAAAAAAAAAATAAATAAAGCCATGGAAGTGAACTAGCTGGGAAAACACACAAGCAAGCCTCTTACATTAAAATCGGATCCTTTTACCAGAAAGCATGCCCACTCACCTCTGCCCAAACCATCCCCAGCAAAAGGGAGGCCCGGGAGGAGGGTGCAGATTTGGCCAGATGATCTGGAGCTGGGGGAATCCGGCCCCGATAGAGCACACCACCTCATTCCTGGGTGGCCTGACTTTGTATTTGGGTTTATTATCTCTGCCCTGCCCACACCCTTGGGATCAGGCCTATTTCTTTTTTTAACTCCCCTGGCACGAGCAGCGCACGACAAAGGCACGCCTCGATTAGCTGGAGTGTTCCTGGCCTAATGAGACATGCTGTGGAGTTATTTGTCTAGTCTGTTCTGAATGGTGTCAGATGGAGCACTTCCTGCCCCCGGCTGAAAGCCCTGAAGGCCGTGTCGCTCCTGGGGCCTTCCGGGAAGCTGAGATGCAGGCAGGCAACACAGGACGAGTGGAAGCATGGAGCAGGTGGCACTCAGCGTGCTCGTCTGCCTGGGGTCCAGCCTCTTCACCCACCCAGGAAGATAGCATGTCACAACCATAGAACCTGGGAAACAGCCACTGACCAGGGTCCAACAACGTGCCTCTGTTTACCCATCCAAAACACCCCATCACCAATTCTGGCACTAAAACTTGTATGATCCTTTCTCAGATTCATATGCCATTCTTTACCCTCCCACTGTCTGCTACCTCACATCCTTCCTCCTCCTCCTCCTTTCCACCAGGCCTAGGATCTGCCTCCCACTTGGGTCCTGCCCTGCCCTCCTCACTCCATGTCACAAGAAGCCAAGTACAAGTCACTGGTTTCACCTTCCTCCACCTCTTCTTCCTCCTCCCCCACTGAGGCTGCATCCCTTCTCCTCTCACCTCCCAACCCTGATATTTCTTCCTTCCACCCCACCCGGCTGTATTCTCTCTCCCTCTCTCTCCCCCTCCTCCGTCTCTCTTCCCCTCCCTCCCTCCTCCTTTATTCTTCTCCTCCTGTCCTCTATTCTCCTGCCTCTGCTCAGGGAACTTAAATAAGAAAATGGTACATTATTTCCACAGGCCGCTTTTTGCATCCTACCTCTGTCCAACGCAAAACCTCTTCTTTCCTGGCTAACTCGGTCCTTTGTGACAGCCTGACTGAATCCGGGGACAGGACCTAAGACATGCTGAGGTTAGAGGGATACAGCAGGCCAGGACCACAGGCACGCCTCACCTCAAGGAAACCCTGTGCAGACAAAGGGTAGAAAGCTGGTCTTCAGGTTTTCACTCCTCTAAGAGGCTACTGCAACTGTCCTCACTCCCCAGGACACCTCCTCTTCCAGGAGCACATCAGCCGCCGCTTTGATCTGACCTCACAACTTTTTCACAAAGGTCTCAGGGCGTGACCCAAACAGAAAGGCAATGTAACACGTGGCAGCTGAAACGGAGCAATTTGCTCAACGAACTGCAGCTATGTTTATTATTTTAAATGGATTATAAAATAGAGTATTTGTCCTGCTTTTACTGGAAATGTTAGAGTTTGAGGGTATCTTTTTTGAAATATATTTCATTTTTAGGTAATAAATCTTGGGCAAGACACTATTTCCACCCAACGATCACTGGAAAGTGTGGAGTCAGGTCCCCCTGGGTTCAAATTCCACCTTGGTACTTAACTGTCTTTGAAAGTTCAGGCCAGTAACTTAGCCTGTCTGTGCCTCGGTTTCCTTGTCTGTTAAACATGGAATAATAAAGTTCCCACCATAGAAAAGTAGTCAGAGGACTGTAACTGACTCTGCCAACATTATATACATGTGTATGGAGCCACTGACATGTCAGATGCTATTCCAAGTGCTTTACATGGATTAATAATTCACACAGCTCTAAAAGGTAGGGACTGTTGTGATCCCCATTTTACAGAAGGTCAGCGAAGTTGAAAAACGTCCAAGATGACATGACTAAGCAGAGGATACAGGATTCACCCCAGGCAGTCTAGCTCCAGAGATACACCACTCCATCTATGAGGTTAGGCCCAGTGGCCAGCAAAGAATTAGCTGCTCAACAACTCACTCACTAGGATTATAATAAATATTACTGGCTTCATTTTTATAAGAACCATTGCCTCCAGAGGGGCAATTTTATTCTGGCTTTTGAATTAAATTTCAGAGCCAGGGCACTGACCCTCGTGCTATAATAATATGTATCTCTACCCACACCCCACCCTCACCATTCTGGAGAGAAAGGCAGGCTGCGGGAACTGCCTGCTTGCAGCTTTATGGGTCAAGCTGCAGTCTCTGGGCCAAAGAAGCTGGGGGTGTCTCCATCCCAGAATTGTTGGCAAATCTCTCTGTGGCCAGGGCCAACTGCAGAATGACAGCCACCACCTGTCCCTCTTGACTGGGGAACCATGGGGGCAGAGGGCTGTGCCACAGAGAGAGCAAAGCTCCTCCAGAACACACATGCCCATCTCCAACCATGCCAAGGGGACTCCAGGCTGAGCAGAGATGGCCCTCCCCAGCCCGCCATGCCTGCTGCATCCTCTGAGCAGTGACTGGTGCTAAAATCCACAGCAACCAACAGGCAGCAGCCCCAGCCATGTCCCATGCCGCAAAGCAGGTGACCGATGAATTTAGCTCGCACTTGGCAGCACAGGGCATTTTCACTTTGGTGGGAGGAAGCCGCCTGATTTCGTTTAATTGGAAGTTTCCCTCACCAGTGCCTGAGAGTGCTTGACAGCAGGAAGTGGAAGCGGGAAACACAGGACAATGAGAAGCCTGCCTGTCCCACACTCTGACACCTCCGGCAGCCCCACCTGATGGGCTCTGCTAGCCAGGTCACTTCTGGTAGGTGAGGTGCAGCCTTCAGTGCCCGGGGGCCAGGAGCATGCTGCATCTGGGCTCTGGGATGCAGAGCTATGGGTTCCTCCTCCACAGTTTTCCAGCAGCCACTCCCAGATAGGATTCAGTCCAAAGATCTCAACCTAAATATCCCAATCTTGGGATTTTAGAACAAAACGTCATAGAAGAAAACATACAGGATGGTCAAGAATGCAGGCTTTGGAGCATGTAATTTCTGTGTCTGAATCACTGATCTATTCTCTCACCATGAGACCCAGCAGTTGGGTGGGCCTCTGTGGGCACAGTTTATCATCTGTACCATGAACACGGGAACCAGGTTAGAACCCCAGGCCTGGGGATAAAACAGGACTGAAACTAACTGGACCCCCATACTGGTCCCCATGATAACTCCAACCATTGGGATTTGCTCAAAAGTGTGGGCCCACGAAGGTAATTTATGGAGTCACAAATCAGGAGAGCAGATACCCTTAGAGACACAGGGGGCAGTGATGGGAGAGGGGGAGGTGCACTCGGGTCACTGGTAATGTCCTATTTCTTGTTCTGGGAGCTGGTGATACAGATATGTTACCTTTGTGAAAATTCACCAAGCTGCACACTTATGCTTTCTGTGCTTTGCTGCTGGTATAATATGCTATACTTCTATTTAAAAGCAAACTAACACAGGAACAGAAAACCAAACACTGCATTGTTCTCACTCACAAGTGGGAGTTGAACAATGAGAATGCATGGACACAGGGAGGAGAACAACATACAACAGGGCCTGTCGGGGTGCGGGGGTGCGGGGCTAGGGGAGGGAGAGCATTAGGACAAATACCTAATGCATGCAGGGCTTAACACCTAGATGACGGGTCGACAGGTGCAGGAAACCACCATGGCACATGTGTATCTATGTAACAAACCTGCACATTCTGCACATGTATCTCAAAACTTAAAACAACATAAAAAAATAAATAAATAAAATATAAAATAAAAATGTACTGGAAAAAAAAAAAAGCATTGGCATGGGACACAAAAACTGGCCTTTATGACTGTCCTCGGCTCAGGGAAAGAACTCCAGATCTGAACACTCTGGTCATCTCTCCACATAAGCCCCCTTCACCCAGGGCTGTATTTATAAAACCCACCATCTAATGGTACCACTGTATTTGCAGATGCCCCAACAACTGTGAGTGATCATCACATCCAGTGACCCCAAAGCATCCTCTCTGCCTTCCGCAAGTATTTACTGAGCGTCTTCTATGTACCAGGAATGGATCCAGAGGTAAACAAAACTAAGAAAGTCCCTTTTTAAAAAAAGCTGATTTTATGGGTCTGAAGAGAAGGGAAAGAATACCATTTACTGAGGCCCTGCTATGTATAATAATGGTGCCCTGGGGGTGCATCTGCCATGTAATTTTATTGTTAACCCTGTTGCGAGGTTCAGTCTAGTCAAGATTATCCCTCCATTTGAGGTATAAACTACCCAGTCTACGCCAAATGAAAGCCCCAAGTATCCTCCAAAAAAATTTTTTTTCCCAAGATTTTGTAAGAAACTAGCACAGCAGGGCTCTGAGGACAGATTATCTGGGTTCAAACCTTCATTGAATGACTTTGGGCAAGTTTCTTAATCTCTCTATGCCTCAGTTTTCCCATTTTCAAAATGGGAGAAATGATTACTTCTTAGAATTCTGGAAGGATGTAATACGATGATACAGGAAAATACTACAGAACACTTGAAATGTGGCTGCTCTGAAGTGAGCTGTGCTATAAATTAAAATACAGGCTGGGCACGGTGGCTCACACCTGTAATCCCAGCAATTTGGGAGGCTGAGGTGGGGGGATCACTTGAGGTCACGAGTTCGAGACCAGCCTGGCCAACATGGTGAAACCGTGTCTCTACAAAAATACAAAAATTAGCCGGGCGTGATGGTGCACACCTCTAGTCTCAGCTACTCGGGAGGCTGAGGCACAAGAATCGCTTGAACCTGGGAGGCAGAGGCTGCAGTGAGCCGAGATCATGCCACTCCACTCCAGCCTGAGCAACAGAGCGAGACTCTGTCTCAAAAAAATAATAATAATAATAATAAAATACATACCACAGTCCAGACAGTATGAAATAAAGAATGTAACATTTGAATTTATATATATATATTTTGGTTATGCTGGGCTAAATACAACATATTATTAAATTAATTTTACCTCTTTTTACCTTTTTAAAAATATGACCACTAAAATATTTAAAATTATGTATGTTGTTTATATTGTATTTCTTTTTTTTTTTTTTTTTTTTTTTTTAGAGACAGAGCCTTGCTCTGTTGCCCAGGCTGGAGCGCAATGGTGTGATCTCGGCTCACTTCAACCTCCACCTTCTGGTTTCAAGTGATTCTGCTTCAGTCTCCCAAGTAGTAGCTGGGACTATAGGCACCCGCCATCACGCCCAGCTAATTTTTGTATTTTTAGTATACAAATACATATTGGCCAGGCTGGTCGCAAACTCCTGACCTTGTGATCCGCCCGCCTCAGCCTCCCAAAGTGCTGGGATTACAGGCATGAGCCACCATACCCGGCCAGCTTATATTGTATTTCTATCTGACAAAATGCTGTTCTAGCTTATCAAACTGTTTTCCTAAACGAAGGCAATTCCTTTCTCAAAGGAATTTTCAATCCCAGCTCTTCAGAGAAAATGTTACATCTCAATATATAAATACATTAACTTCATGGATGTAGAAACTAAACATGAACCTGATGATGTGCCTGAGGTCAAGCGGCTAACAAAGGTAAGGCCAGAATCTGACCCCAGATCTAACTCAATGCTGAACTCAGCTCTTCCTGGTGCTCAACACTCATTTACCTCTACCTCTGAATCTAATCCTTAAAAGAGAGGCTTCTCCAGGCCATCACCCCAGGAAAGACTCCAGAACTAACATTCAATTACTTGTCACTGGGATCACCGATGGATGCTGTGTTTAATAGGATAAGTGTTTGATAGCTTAAGATATGGTTTTAAAAGAGTGAGGGTAAATGTTTGCAGAGATATCATCAGGATGCATGATATTCAGATGCTTTCAATACTTGGCCATAGTGACATTTCTAGTCCCAGTTTCTTTTCTTCTTCTTCTTCTTCCTTTTTTTTTTTTTAGATGGAGTTCCGAGCCCAGGCTGGAATGCAATGGCGTGATCTCAGCCTACCGCAACCTCTGCCTCCTGGGTTCAAGCGATTCTCCTGCCTCAGCCTCCCGAGTAGCTGGGATTACAGGCATGCGCCACGATGCCTGGCTAATTTTGTATTTTTAGTAGAGACAGGGTTTCTCTATGTTGGTCAGGCTGGTCTCCTGACCTCAGGTGATCTGCCCGCCTCGGCCTCCCAAAGTGGTGGGATTACAGGCGTGAGCCACCACGCCCAGTCTCTTTTCTTATATACAGCACATCAAAGAACAGGGGATGCCTCAGGGCTGTAATGTTCAGGAGGGGTCACAACATCCCAAGCACACTAAACTAACATGGAATCCTCCCAACAGCCCCATGAGGCATGGATCCTGCATCCCCATTTGACAGATGATGAAACCACTCACAGGAAGGCTTACTGCTTTGTCCACAGCCACCCAGCTAGTAAGTGGCAGAGTAGACTTCAAACCCAGTCTATATCTAGTCTTCCCACTTAACAACTGCAAATCCACCCTTCATTTTAGGCCTCCCTGTCTTTGCTCTTCCTGTCCTCTGTGCTAGAATATCTTTTCCCATCGACTTATTCTGGCAGGTCTGGCTCAAACCACTTTTTCTTTAAAGCCAATACTGTTCTCTCCCTTTTAGTAAAATTAATTAACCACTCCTTACTTTGGTAACGCATGAACTTGAAACACCATCTATCCTGTACTCGCCATAGTGTATTAGAATGTGTTGCTTATATGTCTGTTACCTCCAAAACAGCATCAGCCTCTCTTCAAAGAAGAGGCTATGCCTAATTCATGTAGGTATCTTCGGCTCCTGGCACGGTATCAGGTACATGGGAATTACTCAGTAAGCATCTGCTGATTAAATGAATGTAATAAGCAACCAGCTCATCTTGACACCCTGTTTTTTGTTCTGAGTACCTTTTTCCCAACCTGCTTCACTCTTCTGAATTCTGATGTTCTTCCCCATGGGTGGCTTCTCCACCAATCTGCTTGCATGGAGAGAGGCCAAGTGCACTGCTTTCAACTGTAGCTTGGTAACACCAATTGTCACCTCTCCATTTTTATTAATTGCTGAGTTAATCAAGCACTCCAAATTGTGTCCACCCACGTTAACATGCTCTTATTTCTGCAAGCATTTCCGGAAGACCAATAAAACAGGTTTAAGCTGAAGTAAAAGAATCCCACAGCCTTTTGGACCCAGCATGATTGCCATATTTTTCCAAGTATCTGGACCCAAGTCAGATCAGACGAAAGAAAGGTCTTGACCAAAATCTCAACCATCCGCAGCTTCTATGGAGCAAACAGCAGAGCAAACTATGATAGACTCTCTCATTTGAACATTCTAACTATCCTGCAAGACTGCCATTACCATGCCAGCATTCAGATAAGGAAACTGAGGCTTAATTGAGAAATGTACTATATTCCAGAGCCAGAAGAGACAGAGATAAGGCCCAGACCTTATCCGTGCACAAGTCATGTGCAGTCTCTGCCATGTGCGGCCTGAAGGGTACACTCTTACCTGATCCTGTGGCCTGACCCATCCTCCCAGGCTTAACAGCTACGTTCTGGTCATTTCAGTGAAGCAGAGCCACCCCACACAAATGATGTGTTCTTTCCTCTGGGAAAGCTTTGCTAAACCTCCCAGCCATAAGGGACTGAGACGTTTTCATCTGAATCTTCAACTAGGTGTTGCTTTAAATTCTGGAAAAAAAAATTCATATGGATATTTTCATTCCCTCTGCTCCTCTTACTTTTGACATACATATTAACATAAGTATATGCTTCTCCCTCACACCTGCCTCGCTGTGCCCATTCTGTGGACAGCCAACCCAGCAGCAGAGGGATGGAAGCGAGATTTATTTTATACGTGAATGTACTTTTTATTAGAATATATTTTATGTTTAATATACTTTGAATGTATGTTAATGTACTTTTTAGCCTTCTGATTGCAAAGAATAAATGCTATTCTTACAAACTGTCCTCCTCCAAACTGTCCTTGTCTACTTAATAAGTAGCTTTTTTAATTTTTTTTTTTTACTTTCGATAAAGATGCCACAGAGGCTGCTAGGCCAAAACGCGACGACATTCTCTGACAGGCTCCCATATGGAGAGTCTGACGTTCCAGATGCCTTCTTGTGTACCAGGTTTCCAGAACACAGTTACGAGCCCCCCGGGGCCGAAAAAGAAGCTCTGCACACACAACACGCTGCATGGCTTACTGTCCAGCTCAACAAGCAACTTGCTCAAAGCCTGTAGCGGGCCCTGGTGCCCCCAGAAGTCCCTGCACTAAATCCCCCAGGCGAAGTCACCTCCAGCTCTCCAAATGAGCAGCTGGAGGACTCAGAGGAAAGGTGAGCATCTGTGTGGGAAGGCTGGTCTAAACCTCATCACCTGGAAAGGATTTTTGAGAAATGAAAGGTAAAGAAATAAGAATTATAATTGGGTTTATCAAATGTGGGTAATAACTTGACCCTTTTTAAAGAAGAGAAGTGTGGTTAAAAGGCAGAGTCTTACAAAAATATGTTTCCATGGCAAATTATCACAGCAAAGAATCACAGCCATTTGTTTTTCAGATTCATCAAAATATAAACCCCAATTTGAACAGTTTTGTTTAAATAGTTCCCTCTCATAAAACATACAGAATATAGACCCATGGACCTTATTTTGAAAAAGACCCACCTACAGAGTATATTTCACTCATGTTAAGCCTTGCGGTTTCAGGAAACAAGTTACAATGTCTCACTACAAAAGGTTAAGGAAATAGGAACCCTTAAGTGAGTGATCATCTTCATGAGCCTGAATATGAAAACAGTGGCACATGGGGCAGGTTCTCCAGACATCAGGCTAACACTGCAAAGCCCTCAGGGCAGTACTGTAACCAGGAGGCCAAATATGGCTGAATGAAAGTCTCCAATAGCACTTTAACAGAGGAGAGGAGGTACTAACACCTTTGCCACACCCGCAAATGCTATCAATTATCTTTGCGGGGTTTTTTTGTTTTTGTTTTTTTTTGTTTTTTTTTTTTTTTGAGACGGAGTCTCGCTCTGTCACCCAGGCTGGAGTGCAGTGGCACGATCTCGGCTCACCGCAAGCTCCGCCTCCCGGGTTCACACCATTCTCCTGCCTCAGCTGGGACTACAGGCACCTGCCACCATGCCTGGCTAATTTTTTGTATTTTTAGTAGAGACGGGGTTTCATCGTGTTAGCCAGGATGGTCTCAATCTCCTGACCTCGTGATCCGCTCGCCTCGGCCTCCCCAAGTGCTGGGATTACAGGCTTGAGCCACCGCACCCGGCCAATTCTCTTTGCCTTCTATGAAATGAAAAAAGGCCAGTAACCTGGGGCAAATGAAATGCCTGTGTTTCAAGTCAGTGCAGACTATATCCAAATCATACCAAGATGCCCCCCCACACCCAGTTCCACCCTCAGCAGTGATAAAGGGGCAGGTGAGGGAAGCAGATGCCAGCCAGGAGACCTCTCAGCAGGGGGGCATTGTTAAAGCTTAGGAAAAACACCAAAGATGAAACTCAGCCTCTCATCAGTAACACTGGAACAGGAAGGCTAATCTTTATCATATAAGGCAACTAAGACTACAAATAAGGTATTTTGCAAATAAAAGTTTCATACATTCCACAGAGTAAAAGGATGCACTGAATTACCTCACTTCAGCATGTCTAGGAAACCTGTGAGATTTGATCATGGGACAACAGGTATGCATCCCCTGCTTACATAAATGGGCAGGAATTTTACTTTTCTCCTGCCATTCTCCTACCTTTGCTATGATTAACTTGAACTCCAAGAGCCCCAAACGATGGGGTTTTCAATAGACTGATGGAGCGCTCTTTTAACTAATCACTCCATAATCCAATTTTCCTCACGTGCGTCTACAAATCACCCCCATCTCTCCACAAATCCAAGAGGCCATGAGACATGACACACAGCCAGATGAATTATGTTGAAAATGGGAAAACTCATCACTTTGGGCCCTGGATTGCAAATAATAACCAAGAATGGGTTAGAAGATTTCTAAAGATATGCTCGGATGCCAATGCCGGAGAAGTCTGTGCGGCAGGAAGCTGCTGTTATCTTTACGTTTCAGCCTCAGCAGCTTAAGACCCTTCCAGTGAGATATGATGCAAAGGGCCATGCACACACCTCCAGCACCCACAGTGTCGGGGAGCGCTGCTTTGCAAGCAGGGTGATGCTTGGCTACCACCTTGCAGCCTCTCCAGGAAGTTTCAGTATTATTATTTCCATTGCAGAGTCAAGAAAATTAAAGTGTAATAAGACAAAGTAACTCAACCAGGGTCATAGAGAATGTAAGCAGCAGAGACTCAGACTCATATATTTCTCAAAGCCTTCCAGTACTGCTCCCTGGCCCAAGTCACCCTCATCTCCTGCCTGAAGTACAGCCCTCCGCAGTCTCCCTGTTTCAGCCTTTGCTACCTGGGGCCAATGCACAACCAAGAAGTAGCCTCGTGATCCTGATAAACATGAATCAGCTCATGCATCTCTTCCAATGCACACTGTGCCCAGGAGACCCAGAACAATTGGGTTCCTCTCTGTCATCCTCTCCCAATACTTTCCTAGGGGCTTGCGCCCTTCCAGGCACACGACCCCTCTGTGGTCTCTCTATTAGCAATTAAGAAATGGCCTGAAGGCCTTTGCACTGGCATGGGCCTCGGCTCTTTCCCCAGAAAGCCCCATGACTCATTCCTTCACCACCTTCAGGCATCTCCTCCAATTACCTCTGCAAACCCTCCCGGACCAACCTCCTTAAAACCGCAAACCCTAACCCACTCCTGCCAACACACACACTCCACCCTCCCTCTCTCTCCCTTCTGTATTTTCTTCTCTCCGAGTATTTACCACCACAGGAGACACAGTATGTTTTCCTTGTTTTGTGTGTTAGTCTATCTCCCTCTGCCAGAACACAAACTCTATGAAGGCAGGGACTCGTGTCCCTTGGTTTACTAACAGTCCCACAGTACTTAGAACAGTGCCTCATATACAGTAGTGCACAGTAAATAGTTGTGTGATGAATCAATGAGAAAAATAAAGACTTGAACCTATCTAAGTCAGGTGGTCTCTGCCCACCAACCACACCACCTGTCTCACCTTCAACAAGAATGTCAGCTCATTCAGGGCAGAAACCAAGGCCATGCGGTTGGCCTCGGTCAATGCCAGCTTCCTCTGTGTACGAATCATTACTGCAGCTGTCCGTCCACACTGCTGGGAACACAGCACTTTAAAGCGATCATGCGCTTGCAGGGAACATTATCCTGGGTCACTGTACGTTGACCCTCTTTCCTCTGATGGCATTAACGAGTGTGCTCTTCACACACTGCTATCATTCAGGGTGAGTCAGTGTGGGAGAAGCAGCCCACTTATCAAACCCCACTTCTCTTCTGAGGCCCCCATATTGTGCCAGCCCACGCAAAGGGCCTGACTATGGGAAGGCATGTGCCACATCCAAGTGACTGTCAGTTTGGCTGGAGTGTCACAACTATGCAGGGAATCTGTGGGAGACCGGGCAAGACCAGATTGGGGAGGCCCTGAAAGGCCAGATGCCACCATCCCGCGGAGCTGCCAGATTCTCGAGGTCACGGCTTACACTGCGGAGGGCCGGCAACCCCGCCTTTAATCTGCCTACCCAGGGAAGGAAAGCCTCCACCTCCTGCAAATCACCCTCTTAGTGGCATGCGTGCACTTACTCCAAAAGTCAACCTTTGTCTACAAAGGACAATGACAGGAGCAACCCTAGGTTTCCTGATGGCACAAATCAACCTCCCCTCCTGTTTTCTGAAGCTCAGGCTCTCTGCAGCTTCTGAGATGCTGCCAAGCACACAAAGGCGGAGTCACCCTGAGCCCATGATGGCACCAACAGCACATGTATTTGTGAGGCTTTCCATGGGGGGGAGGAATTAATAAAAGGGCAGGTAAAACCTTGGGAAGAATACGAATAATTACTGGAACTTATTTAAATGCTGAGTTAGGCAGTTTTTAAATGATAACTCACTTCATCCTAATGCTCTGATTAACCATTATCATCCTCGTTTTGCCCATGCAGAAACTAAGGCTCATCGGCTAAATAATCCACATGCGCCAGAAAGTGACAGCCCTCGCTTTCAAACCCAGGTTTGCAGGGCACAAGGGTGTGTGTTCCACAGGCGATACCATGCTTCCTATACCAGTGACTCTATCACTTTTTAAGTTGCTGAAAATATAATTACATTGCTACTGAGCCACTTTATTTCAAGCTGATATCTTAGCTGACCCTCTGCGGAGGGGGCAGCTCCAACTCCTGCCTCTGAGACTTCATCCCAGGAGTAGAATTGGGGTACACACCAGTACTTCAGATGGCTAACTACACGTGAAGTCCCGAGCCCCAAGTTCACACCAATCCCCCTAAGCCTCAGTCTGTTTATCTACAAAAATAGGAATGTTTATCTCATATCAGTATCATAAGGCAGCCTTACGTAACTACTGATATTGATAGAGCAATATGAAGCTTGTTAATGTGCTTTATAAACTCTGAAAGGCTATTAAAACAAAGTTATAATTATAATGAAATCTAGTGAGTGACACCCATTCAGAGGTCTCACTGCAGGCATAAGCAGCTCAGCTACCCTCCGGGAGATGAACCACCCAACCTACAACTTCCTGTTCACCTTCCGCTGGAGCCCAAGTTTCTCATAAAAGATCATAAAAGATGTGGCCGGGCGTGGTGACTCACACCTGTAATCCTAACACTTTGGGAGGCCGAGGCAGGTGGATCACTTAAGGCCAGGAGTTCGAGACCAGCCTGGCCAACATGGCAAAACCCCATCTCTACCAAAAAATACAAAAATTAGCCAGGCGTGGTGGCGTTCCTATAATCCCAGCTACTGGGGAGGCTAGGGTATGAGAATTGCTTGAACCTGGGAGGCAGAGATTGCAGTGAGCCGAGATCATGCCGTGGCACTGCAGCCTGGGTGACAGAGTGAGACTCTGGTCAATAAATAAATAAATAAATAAAATAAAAGATGTGAGCCCCAGGAAGGGTATCACTGAATTAAAACTCCCTCCTGTGAGCATCTCAGGTAACCACGCAGCCAAGCTGAGGTGCAGGCTAGATCCATGGAAGCCAGCCCACAGCAATCCTGCTCCCTGGTGCTCAGTAAGGACCCAGTAAATTCCCACCTCCCATTTTCCTCTCCTACACTTGGGGACTCAGACACTCTGACTTAGGCCCTCCAGCCGTCCTACAGGATGTTCCTGTGACTTGTGTGACTAGGGGGCACATTTAGAGAAAAGAAACTGGCAGAGAATCTAGTTTGGGCTTAAACTGTTTTTATTCCTATGTTATTTAAACATTAAAGTGGACTGGGCACAATGGCTCATGCCTGTAATCCCAGCACTTTGGGAGGCCAAGGCAGGTGAATCACTTAAGCCAGGAGTTCAAGACCAGCCTGGCCATCATGACGAAACCCTGTCTCTACTAAAAATAGAAAAATTAGCAGGGCATGGTGGCCCACACCTGTAATCCCAGCTATTTAGGAGTCTGAGGCAGGAGAATTGCTTGAACTCGGGAGGTTGCAGTGAGCCGAGATCATGCACCTGGACAACAGAGTGAGATTCTGCCAAAAAAAAAAAAAAAAAAGAAAAAAAAAGGAAGGGAGGGAGGGAAGGAGGGAGGGAGGGAAAAGAGAAGAAAAGAGAAGAGAAAAACATGTAAGACATTAAAATTAAAAAATTATTTTTATAGTAAATGTTTACTGAGCACCAAGTACCAGGCACTGCGCTCACCACTGCAGGATACAGTGGCAAGGAAAACGACAAAAAGACACCCCTGGCTCTTGTGAAGCTTCCAGTCCAGCAGGGAAGAAACAAATAAACCAGAACATCCCATAAAAGCCTATAAAGTCAACTGGGAAAAGTGCCTCGCAGGGCTTTACAAATACAGAAGGCAAGTTTTGGTCTGGGCAAGGTGGTGATGGTAGGGTGAAAAAGCGGTAATTAAACAGAGACCTGGGTCAGAGCAGGGGTTATCGAGGCCAGGGTGGGGAAGTGAAGGAAACAGAATTCCAAGTGAAAAGAACAGCACGTGAACATCGAATGAGTTCTGCTGTGGTCTGAATATCGATGTCCCCCCCAAAATTGCTTTGTCAAAATCCTAACCCGCAATGTGATGGTATTATTAGAAGGTGGGGCCTTTGGGAGCTGTTCATACCATGAAGGTGGAGCCCTCGAGAATAGGATTACTGCCCTTAAAACAGAAACACTAGAGAGCTCCCTCGCCCCTTCTTTCACGTAAGGACGCAATGAGAAGGCCAAGAGACAGCAGGCCCTCAGCAGGTGCCGAATCTGCTGGTATCTTGATCTTGGAATTCCAACATTCTAGCACTGCGAGACCTAAACTCGTGTTATTTAAAAGTCACCTGGCCAGGCGCAGTGGCTCACAGCTGTAATCCTAGCACTTTCGGAGACCGAGGCGGGTGGATAACCTGAGGTCAGGAGTTCGAGATCAGTCTGAACAACATGGTGAAACCCTGTCTCTACTAAAAATACAAAAATTAGCCAGGCGTGGTGGGTGGGTGCCTGTAATCCCAGCTACTCGGGGGACTGAGGCAGGAGAACTGCTTGAGCCTGGAGGTGGAGGTTGTGGTGAGTTGACATCGTGCCACTGCACTCCAGCCTAAGTGACAAGAGCAAGACTCCATCTCACAAGAAAAAAAAAAAAATCACCCAGTTGATGGTATTTTTACTTCAGCAGTCTGAACAGACTAGGACAAGGTTCTCATGCCTATGATTTTTGCTCTAAAACAATCTTGAAATCAAAACAAACTTACAAGGTTTACCTTGAAGATCAACGCCAATACAAGTTTCAGTGAACGTCACATACGTTTGTTTCTATTCCCCTGACCTAAACCACCACTTCCCAGAAGGAATATGGTCCACTTTGCTCAGGCTGGCCAGGTTCTCCTGAAGATGGTGGCCCCACCCTGTGCATGGAGCTCATTCCATCGTTCCTTCCCAATGTGGACAACACTGTGGAACCACCAATGCTCCCGTTCCACAGTCAGGCCCCTCTGCACTTCATTCTCTTTCTTCAATTGAAGAGGGACCACTTTGTACCAAAGCAATGCCTCACCTAGGACCAGTATTTGGTTATAAGTAGTCACATTCATGACCCAGAAGATGCTTATATTAATTTTAGATGACATCAAAAGGTCAATTTTTAAAAAACGAAAAAAAAAAGTAATAAAAAAAAGTCTTACAGAACATCCATGAGCCCATGAAGGAACACTGTTTGAGAAACAAACTCCTTCCTCCCTTCCATTTTGTCACCATCTTCAATGACCTCATGAAAATCCCTTCCTTCTGCATTTGCAAATGCCCTTCCATTTCCCTTCCAACCAAGAAATGATGTGCACGTGGTGGACAACTGTACTAATAAAGCTCATGATAAAGAATATTTGTATCACACACGGGGGAGGTGGGTAACATTTATGGAGCCCTCCAACTACCTACAAAGCACCTTCGAATATATCCTCACACAGGCTGGGTGCAGTGGCTCACCGCTGTAATCCCAGCACTTTGGGAGGCCGAGGTGGGAGGATCACCTGAGATCAGGACTTAGAAACCAGCCTGGGCAACATGGCGAAACCCCATCTCTACTAAAAATACAAAAAATTAGCCAAGCATGGTGGTGCGTGCCTGTAATCCCAGCTACTCGGGAGGCTGAGGCACAAGAATCGCTTGAACCCAGGAGGCAGAGGTTGCAGAGAGCCAAGATCACAGCACTGCACTCCAGCCTGGGCAACAGGGCAAGACTCTGTCTCAATAACAAAACAAAAAACAAATATATCTTCATACAACACTCACGAGTTTTGTAACATACTTCACTCCCTTTAGAGATGAAGAGACTGGTGGTTTTTGAGTAGCTTACTTAAAGTCAGTTACACATTTAAGTTCCTGATGTAAATCAGCATCTGCCTGACCCTAAAGCCTGAGCTTTCAACCAGGATATCACCTCACTTCCCCAAAAGAAAGCATATACTGTAATCTGAAATCAAAACTGGCACAATAAATAACAGATGCCACCTGCCCCTAAAATTCTTACCGAGCTCCCTTCAGAAGCGTCTTCATTCTCCTTTTAATTTCGTGAGCTTTTTCTCAAGCCCCCTCATTCAACAGAAATGGAAAAGATTCTTATTCTATTGTATTGTCTTCCGTTTTAATTGTCAGGTTTGCAAGTGTATGTCTGACAATTTTCGTGGCAAAGGTCCAGGAAGCTCCCTCCTGGGCTAGGCAGACTTCTGCACACCGGCAGCATTTCTTAGCGCCATTTATGACATCTTTTTCAATGAGAGAAAAGAAAGTGTATTTTTTGGAGCCCATCCATTCAGAAGTTTGAGATTCTGGAGCTGGAATAATACGTATCTGGAAATTTTGTGTAATGGTTTCCTTAAATAGACCCTTTATTCTTGGTCCCCTCTAAAGTCTAGCAGAGACATAAGTCAGGCTCTTCTCAAATAGGGACTCTGTTCAATCAACTCACGCCAAGACCATTGATTGGGAACATCCAACATGGGGAGGCAGGCTCTGGGTCTGGTGTTTGCAGGGGGTCCCGGAGGGGCTCATGGACAGGAAACAAAGGAGATGCAAGCAATACTCACGGAGGCACCTACAAGGGGATGGGGTCATTTGAACTGGGTCTTAAAGGGAGAGTGGTCTGGAGTGACCAGAAGATAGAGGAGGGGAGAACTAAATAAAAATGTATTCATTCATTCATAACTTTCTGAGTGTTCAATGAGGGAAGGATGTGAAGCTCGGTGCCAGAAACACAGTGTGAACCAGGAAAACGGAAATGGCCCCCGCCCTTGTGTAGTGTGAAACCTCATGGGATAGACAGATGAGGAACACACAGGCAAATGCAAACCACCAGCCATGTCAGTGCTGAAAGGGAGGCCCCAGGTTTCTGCCCCCCATAAGTGGGGAGCCAGGCCAGGGCCCTGCCAAGCCCTCCCAGCCCAGCTGGCCCACTGGCTCCTCAGGCCTGGGAGAGAACAACGACAGTGGTCTGAAGATAGAGGGGAACTAGCGACCCATGTGCACCTGCCACATTCTAGGAACAGAGCTACTACAGCTTCAGGGTTAAGCGCATAATTCTGGTGTTCAAATCCTAGTTTCTCCCCTACCCAGCCCTGTAGCCCTAAGCAAGTTACCAAACTCCACAATGCCTCAGATGCAAGGCGGGGCTCACACTCCTGTTTATTCCATCTTAGGGTTTTATGTGAGGATTTAAAATGTCAAATGAATTCATTCATATAGAGGCTAAAAAGAGTGCTTGGCACAGTAGTTGGTGCTTAAAAAAAAAATGAGCTTTTCTTCATATTTTTTTCAAATTAACCCGCACAGCAATTCTAGGAGGCATATTTTATCTCTGTTTCACAAATGAAAAAACTGAGGCTCAAAAAGCTGCAAGAAATGAAAAAACTGAGGCTCAAAACTCTGCAACAGAACTTCACCAAAATCTCACAGGTACATGCTGGAGTCTGAGTCAAGTTGAGAATCATCAAGAAATTGTTTCAAAAACCAAGAATCACTGCACATAATGCTGTCAAGGTTTAAACTACAACAAGCTATTTCAAATTTATTTTATATCTGCAAAATTCTCAGATCTATTCAAAAGGACCATGAGCTTCGTGATAAGCCAGCCCTCATAGGCAACAATTCCTCAGGTTGTTCAGGACAGAGGAGGTCATAATTTTGGGGTGGGGGCGGGGGGGTGCTGCCTCAGTTTCCCTAAAGCAACAAGCATTAGGCAGGTGGAAATAAGGGGTTATGAGACTACAGAGACTCAAGTTTTCATGACTTTACTGGGCATAGCTGCTCAGAGATTTACTGCCCTAGCGCCAAGGCATGCAACAGCTCAGAAAAACAAACATTTACAACTGAGCAGCTACCTGTCCCCGAAGCTACCCTGGGCTCCATATGGTTCTGTGCATATGGGAAGCTGCATACGGTTCTGTGCATATGGGAAGCTGCATACGGTTCTGTGAACTCTCGTCTCCTCAACAGGCAGGCCCCTTGCTTCCCCCTTGCCTCATTCAGACCCCTCATTTGAGAGTCATTTCAGAGTTCACCAGCTCCAGAAATGTTATCTTTCAAGGCTGAATCAAGAGGCTCTCCTCTGTGCTCTACCAAATGCCTATAAAAATTTCCAATATCTCCACCACTAAACTTGCCCCTTTGTTTTATATGAATTAGTCCAGAAATTCATTTCCTTACTGGCTATGACTTCCATATGGACATGGATGAAGCCATTATTCCTTTTTAAAAGATTTATTCACTTTTTGTTGAACAAAAACATCTTTTTGAGCAACAACTATGTGCAAGGCACCATGCTATGTGCTAGCCATAAAAAAAAAAAAAACTGTATTGAGAGGATGCCATTCTATTAGGAGAGACAGGTGCAGGAAGGAGAATGAGAATACGATGTTACTGCATGACTTTAGCAAGTAACTTACCCTTCTCTGGCTTGGTTAATTTACCTGGAAAATTGACCCAACATTAGTACCTACAACTCTTCAGATCATGAGGAGGATTACATGAGATCATACCTATAAAATGCTTAGCAAACACATCCCTGGCACACAGTACATAGACCAAATACATGCTGGGTAAAATTCTTTGTGATAAGCACTGTAAATGTTGGCTATTATCAAACGGAGATGTTCTCTGACAGCAGCGTAGCTTTAAGTTGTAAGAGCTGGTTTTGGTTCATCAAAAGCAAAGTCATTAGAAATTTAACGGAAAATTGGCATCGATGCATTGGCTGTGATGAAATCAACTTTGAAATATCACATATTTTTAACTCAAAATCCTAGTCTGATAGGATCCTAGTCTAATAGTTCTTCTATTCTCGACTTTGACAACATCACCTAAAAATGCCTTCTCAAAAGCCACTCTCACCATGAGTCCTTTCTTAAGACGTTTCGTACCTTCTCTACCACGTACGAGAGTTCACAATCTTGTCCTGGCCTTCTCACCACCCTCACAAAACTACAAAGCTTCTTTCAAACAGGATTCACGTCTGAATCATGTTAGCAACCCACCACATCAGTCATTTGTTGCATAATAATGCTACCTAATGAGCCATCCCAAAACCAGTGTCTTGAGGCAACGATCACTTATTTCTAGTCATGCACCTGCAGGTCAGCTGGGACTTGGCTGATCTAGACTGGGCTTGGTTTCTCACTGAGGGCCCATGAATTGGCTGCGTGGCTCTGCTCCCCTCTCCTACTCTTCTTCTGACCAGCAGCTGGCAGGGCACACTCTTTGTGGCAAAGGCAGGGACACAAAAAAGCAGAAATGCTCAAGATCTTTTAAGGCATAGGCTTAAAACTGGCATACCATCCCCTCCACCTCATACTTCAGGCCAAAGCTAGTCACATGGTGAAACTTAAAGTCAAAAGTCAAAGGAGTTGGGTAGGAAATCAGAAACGTGTGAAGATTTGAGGCCACAAATGCAATCAGCCTATCACATCCACCACTCAGGTGCTTCATGCATACAAAATGATCATCTGGCTCTGAATAAATGAACAAATGAATGAATGAAAGAAGACTGACTACATTTCACAGCCTTGTCAAGACACATGCCAGTTTCACTAGCAGCCACTGTGAATTCTAAAGGTGGTACAACAGTGGCACCCTCGTTAAATATTAGTTTGCTACAGGTCCCTACACTCCACTGTACTTCAGCGGAAGAGGCAGCATTTCAAAAATGTGTATGTTCACAGTGTTATTTTTTCATGGATCTCTGATTGTGAAATAAATCAATATTCCCATTCACACACAAGAGCCCGTGTGCAGGCACACATCATGCCCTATTTCTCAAAAAAGAAAAATGCAACACTGCTTTGCAAACGTGGAGTGAGGGAAGGGGATTAAAAAGGGAGAAGGTGAATAGGTGACTTTGAATCCAACCTACAGTGGTTAATTTTCATTTAACTATCTGGCTGAGACTAGGGGTTCAGCAGAAGCACATTAAATTCTGTGAACTTATGAAACGATGCATTATTGAAGCCACAGCAGGAGGAAAGGACTCGGTTTAGAACACATAAAAGACTAAAACTGGCAGAAGTGTCATTTTCCATTACAAAGTAACCGCTAAAGAAAATACATTTTAATTGAGAAAGAAAACACCAGCTCCAAAAGGGTAGGTAAAACAAAATGTATCCACAGCACTGTCCCCCTTCCTCTTCCCACCACCCCAGTAAATCCTGCAGTTCCTCCTGGAACTCAACCAAGGAATAAATCTTAAACTATTCCATGTCCTTTCTGGATCCACTAACACTAGTAGAGGCCACCATTTACTCCATTCACTCAACAAATATTTATTGAGAGTTCTCTATGCCTAAGACACAAAAAGACAGAAACCCTGCCGTCATCAGCTCACATTCAGATAAACGCACAGCATATTAACAAACGGTGATGCTATAGGAAAAAACAGAGCAGGGTAAAGAAGGCAAGTGTGGAGTTATCGGAGAGCCACAATTTTAAATACAGTGATAATCACCAAGTTTTTCACCTCCCGAAGTGACCTTAAGACTTCTGTGCTTCAACTTTCAAAAGCTGTTGAAATCAATCATTAACTTAAGTGGTACAGGTAAGCCATCATATCACTCATTCTAGCAGACACAAATATTGGGTTCCCCACTCACAAGGTGTTTGCAATCTAATCCCTCTCATCAAGCGGTATTCAGGTATCATGGGAACACCACAAACCCCACGTTTAACCATGAACTCTAAGCAAAGACAAAAGGCAGTCCATGCAGGCCTATTATTAAGGCCCGCTGAACGTCACAAGTCTCACAGGGCACCTCCGCCCCTTTCACTACATGTTGAGTAGAAGTGCATTGAAGGCACTGAAGATGCAGGAAATCTATCGATTCCACAGGAAAAGCATGAGCAGGCCTCACTGGGTCCCCAAACTGGGCTCCCGGCCCTGCAGACCTGGATGCTCTAAGTCTAAGGGTCAACTCCCCTCCCCATCTAGAGGCTGACCCTATGAGCACTCAGGGTCACCCTCTAGATGGGGAGAGAGGTTGTGCTGTTGGTCCAGGCCCTGCCCTTATCCTAAGGCTGTGTCTTCTCTACTTCCTGTTCAACCTGTACCATATGGAGGCCTCCTTCCCAGTGTTCTAAATCTTGGCTGCCTATGCAGATCACCTGTGGAGTTTTTGATCCTGGTCCCCAAGATGCATCACAAACCATTAAAATCACTATTTCTAGGGGTGGATCCCAGACATCAGCATCAGTTAAAGCTTTCCAGAGGATTCTAGTACACATCCTAGGTGAGAAACACTGTGGACCCCTACTCTACTCACTAGGGTGGCTACCCCAGTTGCAACCTTATTCCTGACCCCCTTGTCTCCTCTTCTTATTTCAATTTGAGGCTTTAGCTGTGTCCCCTACCCGACACTGTCCCACTGCTGTCCATCAGAATGAATTATCAGAAACCTCGAAGTAGCCTCTGTGTGCAGCAACTCTTATTTTTCAAACAAAACTGGGACATGGGAGCTGGCAGAAAAACTACTGTGCTCTTCCAAGGCAGTGGCCCCAGGCAAGTTAGGACAGGGCTTTGGAGTTCTCATCCTTGTCTGGACCCATATCTGGTCCAAGGTCACACACATGTGTGTGACCTCATACAAGGAAATGAACCTCATTTGGTCTCAGTGTGCTCCTCTGTAAGTCAGGCACCATGACAGCCACCTCATCAGGCTGTTGGGAAAACACAATGAGAATCATGAATCAAGCATTTGACATTCAGGAGGTGCTCAAAAAATGGCAGTGGCACTTCTCAATTTGTCACATGGGAGCCAGTCCCGGAAGAGCTTATATACCAAAGTGGAATGCCTGGGACAGTTTAATGGTTTAATGGGATAACAAATGGGGCAGAATATTTGCAATTAGAGCCACCCTAGAAAATCTGATCACCGATCACCTGTATTTTGTGTCATGAGCCTTATATTGGAGAGGCAAGTGGGGGTGCTGTGGGGGATGGGGAGGAGAGTACACCTCTACAGAGGTGGGCAGAGTTGGCACCCTCGGTCTCTGGATGGGACACACAAACCGGAAACCAGAGAGAGCAGGAAGGCACAAGGAGGACAAATTGGCTCTAACTATGAATGCACTTGAGCATAAACAGAAAACAGAAAAGCAGGCCATCTGCCCACTCACAGAGGACAAGAGGAGGAGATGGAGACCTGAGGTGACCAGAGTAGAAAACTAGGATGGAATGGACTCAGGCAGGTCTCCTGGGAGGCTACATATTAGTTATCTATTGCTGTGTAACAAACTGTCACAAAGTTGATGGCTCAAAACAGCACACATTCATTATTTCACAGTTCCTATAGCTCAGTGTGAGCCTGGGCATGGCTTAGCTGTGTCTATGGTTCATGAATCTCATAAGGCTACACAGCCAAGGTGTCCCCAGGGAGCTCTGGGGCCGAATCCACCTGCAAGCTCCCTCCTGTGCTGGCAGAATTCATTTCCTTGTGCCTGAGGTCCTTGCCTTCTTGCTGGCTGTGGGCAGGGGTCACCCTCTGCTCCTCAAAGCCACCCACAGTTCCTTGCCACATGGGCTCCCCCAACATGCCAACTTCATCAAGCCAAGAAGGAAATCCTTCAGGGCAAGTTTGCTATGAAGATGGGGTCTTACATAAGGAAATGTAATCACAGAAGTGACATCCTTCGCCTCTGCTCTGGTCTTATTAGAAGCAAGTCACAAGTCCCCTGCACACCCCAAGTGAAAGGGACCACACAAGAGCAGATCAGGAGATGAGGATCATGAGGGCCAACTTAGAGTCTGCCTGCCAGAGATACCTTATTTTCACCGTAGTAAAATACACATCACATAAAACTTACAATTTTACCCATTTTTAAGGGAACAGTTTGGTAGAATCACACACATTCCTATTTTTGTGCAACCATTACCAACACCCACCTCCAGCACTGTTTCATCTTCCCAAACTGAAACTGTCTCCCCCTTAAAAGCTCACTCCCAATTCTCTCCTTCCCCTAGTCCCTGGAAACCACCATTTTACTTTCTGTCTCTACAAATTTGACTACTGTAGGGACTTTACATAGGTGGAATGATAAATATTTATCTTTTTAATGACTGACTCATTTAACTCAGCATCATGTCCTCAAAGTTCATCCATGTTGTCGCATGTGACAGGACTTCCTTCCTTTTGAAGGCTGAATAAATTCCATGTATGTCTACACCACATGGTGTTTAGCCTTTCCACTGATGAACACCTGGGTGGCTTCCACATTCTGGCTATTGTGAATGACGCTGCTATGAACATGAGTATGCAAATATCTCTTTAGAACTGTGCTTTCAACTCTTTTGGGTATATACTCAGCAGAACTGCTAGATCTTAAGGTACCAGGGGCACATTTGAGGCCAAAGTGTACCGTGTACTGGGGTCCAGTGGCTTGGGAGCCTGTTAAAACTTTTGACAGAGGCATAGGAAAGTAAAAGGTGCCCAAGTGACTGAGAGCAACGTCCTATTGTTAGCACCATCTCTCCCTCAATGATGCCGTCACCTTGCTAGAATGTTCAAACTTCACAGTGTCCACAGCACTCCATCTACTGAGGCCTAGCGACACTGATCCCTTCCACTCCCGGCTCCCACCCCTGGTGTGCTTGACTTTTGCTGCTGCTCCTACATTTTAAAGGAGTCTTTTTCAGTTACACTATTTGAGTTTTCCGTAATTAGATACTCACTCGTTCTCTCTCAGTATTCAGAATGAAAGCAATGCTCTCCCCCAGCTGTGCTACAGGGGCCAAGTGTCAGATGCAACCCAGCACAGAACCTTCCCCGCCGACCAGACCTGATGGTGGGGTATCAGAGAGAGGTCCTCAAAGAGAGGAAACACACATGCTGCCCTGGAAAACAGTTGAAGCTGCTTTTCTGGTTATCGCCCCTGTCTCTCACTTCCTGGATTTCTTCACCCCAACGTTAGCAGATCAGGGACAGTTTTGCAGGAAGGAGGCCAGTCATGCCTCCTTTGTGGAGCTCCCTGGAGAGCTTCTACCTCCCTTCCTTCAAAGCCCAGGAAGAAGCTGAAATGAAAGCCTCAGGTTGACTCACTCACAACTGTTGAATCCCACACACCCTTCTTTGCAAAGCAGCTGGCTACCACATTCAGAAGGCACTACAGCCTTTAAATCAAGCCCATTCTTTTGCAAAAACCCCACATACCTACTCCTCCGCTTTTATTTTTGCTCACCCAAAAAGCTGCAAGCAGTAAACTCTCATTGGTGGTCTACAAAGATAAAAGTCCCAGGGATCCATTATTATTTCAGGCAGAATAAGGGGTTCCTTCCTGTGGTCCCAAAGTAGCATAAAACGAAAGCAGGAGGCAAGCTGGGCCTGGAGAGCCACCTAGTAAGGCTGGCTATCAGGCAGAAGTCAGGACAGGGCAGCATGACGGGAATACGCAAGGGAGGCAGCCCTTATCTAGATCTATCCCAGCTCAGCCAGTGAAGGTGAAATCAGAGGGGGAATGCCAATGAAGCCAGCGGAACCTACAGACAGCCAAAATGTGGCGCTTTATTACGAGAGTCTAAGTGACTGCAAACAGGCCATTATCAAATCTCTTCAGTGACAAAGCTCCGTGTTGAAGGGGACAAATAAAAATAAGTACATTAAGCACAATAAATCACAGGGACCTGTCGGTGAGACCCATTATCCCTGGGGGATTACGAGGCTGTTTTCCTCCCTGCTTTCAGCTATTGGATCCTGGTTTTCCCATCATTGTTTTAATATTGCAGCCATTACTCTCTGTGCCACGAAGTGCCTGCTGTTTCTCTGTAGTTCTGGGTGGCAAGGGCATAATTTGTTTTATGATTTGCTTGGGAGGGTAGCTGTTTTATATTCATCTTTAAAAAATACATTCAATGATTGTAGCAATGAGACCCTGTTTAAAAAACAAGAGACCCAGTCCTGTCACTCCTTTCAGCATACACGTGGCCACAGCTGTAGCCACCCAAAAGGTACCCAACAATTACCAAGAGGACTATGCAGTTTCTTTGGCGGCCCACAGGCCCCAAGAAAGCTTGAGCCAGGCTTAAAAGAGCTCCTGAATGATGCGGAAGACAGCCTGGGCTTGAGGGAGAAAATAAAAGGTTGGAAGTCAAGTGGCCTGAATTTTATCATTAACTTGGTGTGAGCCTACACGGTTCCCTTGATCTGGGCCCAAGTGCCCCGCCCCCCATCCACAAACTAAGGCATCCCATTGGTCCACATCCCTCTTGGGAGCCCAAAAGTTCTGCATTTCCATGAGATGCAGAGGGAGTGCAAAGCACTTTACACCACGTAACCCTACTTTTATTTCCTCCTCTCCTTCCACAAGATCATTACAAGATTCTTCTTAAGACTGGCCGAGCACAGTGGCTCAACGTCTATAATCCCAGCACTTTGGGAGGCCGAGGCAGGCGGATCGCCTGAGGTTGGAAGTTCAAGACCAGCCTGGCCAACATGGGGAAACTCTTTCTCTACTAAAAATAGAAAATTAGCTGGGCGTGGTGGCACATGCCTGTAATCCCAGCTACTCCAGAGACTGAGGCAGAAGAATCGCTTGAACCCGGGAGGTGGAGGTTGTGGTGAGCCGAGATTGTGCCATTGCACTCCAGCCTGGGCAACGAGAGCAAAACTCCATTTCAAAAACAAACAAACAAACAAAAAGATTCTTCTTAAGATAAAACCAACCCATTATGCAATTCTCCATGACATCTTCTACCAGTTCCTCCTTCTCCTATCCCTGCAGAAATGTTCCCTCCTGCCTCCTCATTCCCTGAGATGTTGTTTTCCAGGACCATTCATTATAAACAAGTCCTCACGCAACTGTATCCATCGGGAAGTGACAGGATGTGCTATTTATGCTGCTCCCTATCAGAAGTGAACAGGACCACAAACCCCTGCTGCTCTTCAGCAAGATGGCTTTGGACCCCTCCCTGCAGTATGGAGACATCAGTATTCCTTTCAGCCATTCCCATTTCAATTACCACATCTCAATCTCGCCATGAAAAGAACATGTCTTGCAATGTAAGCTTCCAGTGTGGCACTGTACAAGGCGGCCATATAACAAAATTGATCCCAGAACTTCATCGCCCACCTGTGAGGCACTGACATCAAACCCGCCTGATGGTGCCCAACTCTCAAAATACCCTATAAAGGACTCAAAATCAAAACAGGCAAAAAAGTTACAGGCTCTCCCATGTCAAAAATGGAACTGGGTTTAACGGATCATCAAAGCCTGTTGAGCGGCCTCTTGGGAGTAGAATAGAGGATTCCTTCTAACCAAACAATGCATCAGGCTTTGCAAAATTGGATGTAACAAACCAATAAATACCAAGAGGAGTTATACATATGGTAGTTTTTAGCCCAGAACTGCAGGTGGCAAGTGACAAAAGGGATAGCTTTGCCTGGAAGCATGACAGCCAAGGGCCAACCTAATCTGCTCACAATGAACCAAGCCACACAGAATGAGAGTTCCAAGCAAGCAGGGACTGGGACTTTGTCTTGTTCTCCTCCTCACCCGCCCCCTCACTGTGCCCAGTACAGTGCTTGGCATATAACAGAGGGTCAACAACTGTGTGTTCAGTGAATCAGCAAATGAAGGAATGAATCTGAGCAAAGCAACATCGATGACCAGCAGCCCTCAGAAATTCTGATCCAATTGATGGGAATAACATGAAAATCTATTTAACAAAGAAGTGAGACTTCTGCAGTGCTTTGGGCATCTCAAAGAATACATCCAGATGTATATATTCAGACAGCAATCTGTACAATGCTGTAAGTAAATGCAAGTAAAAGGCACAAATCCTTTAAATGTCAGTGTGTGGGTTTGGAGGGTTGTTTTTGGCTTATTTGTTTTGTAGCTTTTTCCCCTAACCATTGCAAGTTATTAGGAAGAAACAAAAGAGAAATGCAGTCTGAAAACATTCTTAGCCTCTGCCCCAAGTGAACCTCTGTTGAATATCAAAATACAGCTCATGAAAACAAACCAAAAAACCAGAATACATTCCCACACTCTCCATGAAAGATTCAGGAGTTGGAACAGATATCTCAGGATTTACACTCAAATTGTACCACAGGGCAGCAGTCACTGGCCTGCAAGTCAGGACAAGGAGGAACACAGCAGTCCTGACGTCTAAGAAGATGCAGCTCAGCTCCCGGGTGGTGCTCCCCCTTGCAAGCCCAGCCCCGGCTCACTCTACGTTTCCACCAAACACACAGCTCAGGTACAACATTCTTACCTCCAAAGGACTTACAATTGAAAATTCTCACAGACCACATCACGTGTCAGACCCAAATGCTCATTAGATGTCACTTGCTTGGAATGAAGAGCCTCTAATGTCCAACGGGCATCCGGCCATCACTCAGGGGATACGATTTCTAGATTGCTTTCTCATTAACTTGTGTTTGATCCTTACATTAAAGGCGAGAACAGATGACAGACCTTGTTTCACAGAGGAGAAAAAAATGAAGCTCAGACAGTATTAAGGGTTGAAATAATCCCCCAAAAGACATGAGGAAGTCCTAACCCCTGGTACCTCAAATTGTGACCTTCATTGGAAATAGGGCCTTTACAGAGATAATCAAGTTAAAATGAGGTCATTAGGTGGAACTTAATCCAATATAACTGCTGTCCTTATAAAAAGGGGAAGCTGGCTGGGCGCAGTGGCTCACGCCTGTAATCCCAGCACTTTGGGAGGCCGAGGCAGGCAGATCACCTGAGGTGAGGAGTTCAAGACTAGCTTGCCCAACATGGCGAAACCCCGTCTCTACTAAAAATACAAAAATTAGCTGGGCATGGTGACACACGCCTGTAATCCCACCTACTCGGGAGGCTGAGGCAGGAGAATCGCTTGAACCCGGGAGACAGAGGTTGCAGTGAGCCGAGATCGCGCTACTGCACTCTAACCTGGGTGACACTAGTGAAACTCTGTCTCAGAAAAAAAGGGAGGGGGGGTTGTTTGCACACAGAGACATGTACAGAGGGAAGACAATGTGAAGACACACAAGAAGAAAATAGCTATGTGACTGGAGGGACATGTCTACCAGCCAGGGATCACCAGGAATTGCCAGCAATCACCAGAAGCTAGTGAGAACCAGAAGGGTTCTCACCGAGAGCCACTGGAGAGGGAGTGTGGTCCTGCTGACTCCTCCAGACACCTTGGCTTTGGACTTCTGGCCTCCAGAACTGTGAGACAATTAATGTCTGTTGTTTTAGGTCATTCAGCACGTGGTACATTGTTACGGCTGCCATAGGAAATGAATGCAAAGAAAGTAAGCACCTTACCCAAGGGGAGCCAGGAAATATTAGCATGGAAATAACAATAAACCATGTTCTGCCAAAACTTCTTGATCCTATGTCCTACTCTCTCAGACACTGTGAAATGTCTTCCATAAAGACAATCCCCTAATTAGTTGGGTGAGGTGGCACATGCCTGCAGTCCTAGCTACTGGAGAGGCTGAGGTGGGAGAATCGCTTAAGCCCAGGAGTTCAAGGCTGCAGTGAGCTAGGATCACACCACTGCACTCCAGCCTGGGCAACAGAGTGAGATAGCATCTCTATAAAAAATTAAATTAAAATGTTGAAATGACAATCTTCCAATCAGTTAACACAATCGATGTTGGCAGATAAAGGGGTGATGATACATGGATGACTTATTCAGGCCCTCAACCTGAACATATGCATACTTTAACCACATCGTATAGCAAATGGCTTTCTAAAATTGTACTGAAATTTCTGGTTTGCAGGCAAGCAAAATTTGGGAAGCGGATTTTTGGGTTCTAATGTGAAAAGACTACAATTTGAAAGCTGCTACCTACTCCCCACATCTTTTTGGCTGTGATGTTTCATTCTAAACAGAGACAGACCAGACAATGAACACACAAGCCACATTAAAACAGTAATTAGTGCAAGAGCGAGAACAATGACAACTTCTTGATAAAGTGGAACGATGAACAGGTTTGTCACAGGCAGAACCTTAAAGATTAGCTCTGAGAATGAACAGAAATCATTCCAACACAACAGTGGCACTTTTACGACGTGGGCCAAATGGACTCATAAAACCCCACACTTGAAAACTTTGGTCCGTAAGACACACAAAAAAACAAGACGACAAGACTCTCTCACACACGGGAGTGCTGGCGTGCCCAGCAGAGCTCTTGGCCAATCCACTGCTCCAGTGGGAAGAATAGGATGAGCTGTTGGTCTCAAAGACAGAGTCCTGCCTTAGGGCAGCCACCCATCCCATTCCCCAAAAAGTCATAAAACTCATTTCACAACCCAAGTCCACCCTCAGAGTATCGCAGAGAAGCTGTCAATTGCAAGGACAATGCTACAATTCCAACACGGCAGCACTGAGCCTAGGGAGGTGAAAGGTCCAGATTCTCACTATCCAACCCCAAGCATTTTTCGCAAATCCACAACCAGTTCTCATCTGTACGTTTTGTCTTCTCTCTACTCCTATTAAAGGGAAAGCAGTACCCGAATAATAAACTCTACATCAAACTTAACCATCCCTGAAACAGTCTGCACTGCCTAGGTGAATCTGTTACTAATTTGTGTTTCAAACAAGATATGTACATGTTTTTCAAAATACAACCCATTCACAGCATTAAAACAACAGATGATGTTATAGGCTGAATTACATCCCCTCCCCCAACTTCGTATGTTGAAGTTCTAACCCCCAGAACCTCAAAATGTGACCGTATTTAGTGACGGGGTCTTTAAAAAGGTGATTAAGGCTGGGCGCAGTGGCTTATGTCTGTAATCCCAGCACTTTGGAAGGCCAAGGCTGGTGGATCTTCTAAGGTCAGGGGTTCAAGACCAGCCTGGCTAACATGGCGAAAGCTTGTCTCTACTAAAAATACAAAAATTAGCTGGGCACAGTGGCGAGTGCCTGTAATCCCAGCTACTCGGGAGGCTGAGGGAGGAGACACGCTTGAACCCGGGAGGCGGAGGTTGCACTGAGCCGAGATCAAGCCATTGCACTGCAGCCCAGGCAACAAGAGCGAAACTCCATCTCAAAAAATAAAAAGGTAATTAAGTTAAAATGAGGTCATTAGGGTGGGCCCTAATCTACTATGACTGATGTCCTAATAACAGGAAGAGATTAGAGCACAGACACACGCAGAGGGGAGACCATATGAAAACAGCAGGAAAAGACAGCCACATATAAGCCAAAGGGAGAGGCTTTTGCCAACACCCTGATCTCAGACTTCCAGCCTCTAGGACAGTGAGAAAATACATTAATATTATTTAAGCTCCACAGTCTATGGTACTTTGTTATGGCCACCCTGGCAAACTAAAATAGATGGAATTCCACCATTCTGAATTTTTTTAAAAAATAAATAAAATCACATAACAGTTAAAAAAAAAAAGAATGGCAAAACACATTGTCAGAGATTCTTCACCGTGTCCTTAAAAGTCTTGAAATTGGCCAGGCGCGGTGGCTCACGCCTGTAATCTCAGCACTTTGGGAGGCCAAGGCAGGCGGATCACGAGGTCAAGAGATCGAGACCAGCCTGGCCAACATGGTGAAACCCTGTCTCTACTGAAAATACAAAAATTAGCTGGGCATGGTGGTGGGCGCCTGTGATCCCAGCTACTTGGGAGGCTGAGGCAGGAGAATCACTTGAACCTGGGAGGAGGAGGTTGCAGTGAACCAAGATCGCACCACTGCACCCTAGCCTGGTGACAGAGCGAGACTCCATCTCCAAAAAACAAAACAAAACAAAAAAAGTCTTGAAATGACTGATGCAGGGAATAGAAGGTATCACTGACACCACTGTGTCAATGGGCGGATGAGTATCCTAGCAGGGAAAGTGTTGACTGGCGCTGGTAGGGGAAGTACACACAGGACAGTCAAAAGGTTTTATAGAGACCTGTGGTCTCTTTTGTATGACTTCTAGATCTTCAGATTAATCTTCCTACTGAATATTTTCGGCCATTCTGTCTACCCAGCTTCTCTCCTAGAATGACTCCTTCCCCACTCTTCAAGCAATTCAAATAGGACTGACTTCCTCCTACCAGCTCCGGGGATGTGGTGGAGGTTCTTCCAACCAGATTACAACATGGGCTTTCTTTTGAGATGGAGTCTCATTCTGTCGCCAGGCTGGGCTCACTGCAACCTCCGACTCCCTGGTTCAAGTGATTCTCCTGCCTCAGCCTCCTGAGTAGCTGGGATTACAGGCGTGTGCCACCACGCTTGGCTAATTTTTGTATTTTTAGTAGAGACAGGGTTTCACCATGTTGGCCAGGTCAGTCTCAATCTCCTGACCTCGTGGTCCCCCCGCCTCGGCCTCCCAAAGTGCTAGGATTACAGGTATGAGCCACCGCGCCTGGCCACAACCAGGACTTTTGCCAGATGTACTGGGAAAAAGATGCTTTCCCTCAGCTACGATGGTGGGGCAAGTCAGATGTGCACCCAGGGCTCCTGGCATCCCATGGGGACAGGCTGCCTGAGAACCAAGCCAATACAGAAGAAGGCAGAGCCAGGCGTGGGGCAGTAGAGTCGGTGACGCTGTTCGAGGACTTAGATCCAGCCCTGCCTGACGCTGCCCTCGGGTCTTCAGTCACTTAAGAAGATAAAGTGGAATGGTTATTTAACATCACTATGAGTTAGGTTTCTATAATTTGTACCTGAAACAGTCCTCAGTGAGCCATTGAGGCACTCTGGCATACACGATCACATGACTAGCTACATGTGTAAAAGTTTCATCAACATTTAAAGGATGTTTACATTATCCTGAAACCCAACAGAATTTCAAGTGTGCTTAATCAGGAGGGCAATGTATGAGCTTTAGGAAATACTGATGTCCTTTAAATTTTATGGAAAAAAATATTCAGGTGTATAAGGGTCTATGGCAGAAATCAACTTAAAAATTACCCACTCCAAACTTCAGTATCTGAGACAGAATAGTACAGAGGTATTTAAGTTTTTTTTTTTTAATTCCTTTTTTTTTTTTTTTTTTTTTGAGACAGCATCTTGCTCTGTCACCCAGACTGGAGTGCAATGGCGTGACCAGGGCTCACTGTACCCTCAACTTCCTGGGCACAAGGAATCCACCTCCCAGTCTCCTGAGTAGATGGGACCACAGGCATGCACCAGGATGCCCAGCTGATTTTTTTTAACTGTTTTTTATACAGATGGGGTTTCACTACGTTGCCAGGGCTGGTCTCGAACTCTTAGGCTCAAGCGATCCTCCCACCTTGGCCTCTCAGTGTGCTGAGATAATAGGCATGAGCCACCATGCCTGGGCCCTTGAATTCTGAAATTTGAAAAACTTGTACTGCCGTGCCTATTTTTAGGCTGACATAAAGTTTTCATCCTCAACTACACAATTTCTAAGGATACAATTTTCAGCATATTGTAAACATTAACATTTTAAAATAAAACTTTCACATCACAGTTTTAAATGGAATCTAGCAATCTGATAGCCATCATTCATTTTAAAAATCCAACAGCAAGTTATTTTTTAAGAACTGAAAATGTTATATTATTCTCTCACATGAGAAAGGGGCTTAAATGCCCTGTTTCTGGCACCAAGTTTCAACACGTAAAAGACAAAAGGGAAAGAGGCAACCATGTGGCATTGCTGTGATTAGAAGGACCTCAACATACCAATTTCAAATAGTCCCTTTGTTAGGTGACCCTTGAGATTTTCATACCCAGAGCAACATGCCAGAATAAGACTAGTTCTGGCTAAGAGATGTGCCTTTATAAAATGAGGGAGGACAGGGCCTGGTGCAGTGGCTCATACCTGTAATCCCAGCAGTTTGGGAGGCTGAGGAGGGTGTATCACCTGAGGTCAGGAGTTCGAGACCAGCGTGACCAACAAGGTGAAACCCCATCTCTACTAAAAATACAAAAATTAGCCAGACGTGGTGGCAGGCGCCTGTAGTCCCAGCTACTCAGGAGGCTGAGACAGGAGAATTGCTTAAACCTGGGAGGCGGAGGTTGCAGTGAGCCGAGATTGCGCCACTGCACTCCGGCCTGGGCAACGGAGCGAGACTCTGTCTCAAAAATAAATAAATTGATTAATTAAATAAAAATAAAAATAAACAAAATGAGGGAGGATAACCATGAAAGGAGGATTGGGAGAACCGTGGACCAGACAGGGATCATCTCAGGCTGATCAATTTCAGGGAAGGGCACATATGTGAGGCTGGAGATGTGAAAATTTATTTTCTTAGAAGTATCCACATCTGCATACTCCATGAAAAGTCTTCATGTATTTCCCAGGGGTATGTATATTTCCAGTATTAGGACACCTGGGTTGTTGGATTATAGGACAGAGATTAAAAGCAAATATTCTGAAAACAAAATTCATTTCCAGTCTCTGGGCTTTATTGCTTGAGCAAATAACCTCTCCAAGCCTCAGTTTCCTTAGCTGTAAAATGAAACTACTCAGCTTAGAGAGCTGTCAAAAGGCATAATACTTGTAAAGCACACCTCAGTACCTTTTCTTACAAACTGCTAAGGAAGGGGCCTTTCCTATCCCATTCATTGGCTGCCATCTCTCTTAACTGTCAGAGCCCAAATTTCCTATGAGAGAAAAGTGCAAGGTAGACAGAAAACTCCTGAAAAACTGCCTCAGGTGATTAGTGGGCAACCATTTGCTTTTACCTTCAGGGCCTCTGCAAATTTTCTGAGATCTCTGGACAGGGCTAAGAAGAGAAAGACTGGCCTCTTCTTCATCCCCAGGAGCCCTTGGTTTCCTGGTTAACCAAGCACAATTACTCTAAGGTGGGGAAGGCAAAGAGATGAAGGGAAAGGGAATGAAGCAACTCTAAATAACTGAGTGCTTTCTCAACATAATACACACATTAACAAATTTAATGAGCTCAAAAATGCTGTATTTCCAAAGGAGTTATAGATAATTCCAAGCAGAAGAAAAAGGAAAATGGCAAAAGCTAAGACCCAGAACAAGCACCCCTTGGTATGGATTAAATCAGACCACTACTGGAGAAGCAGTAGGGCTTCCTGAACCATATAACCAACACCACGTGCCAAGTGCAAGTTCATAAAGTTTTGCTAGTGCCTGGATCACACAAACCTTCTGATAAGCCCAGGGCTCCTCTGTCACTCCTCTGTGATTTGCTAAGCAAACCTATTCATGCAGCACTCACGCCTGGCTTACAAGGGCAGTGCCATAAAAACCCAAATGGACCTCACGAATACTAGAGGCAATACTAAATATTCTAACATAAACATGTGGTTATGTGGAGAAGAGTCTTTAGGCACTGCTGCTAAGCTCCTGTACAAATTTATTCGATCCTCCCTAGCCAGTCCCCATCACCGTCTGATAATTTCTCCATCAATTATGACTGCCATTCTGCATCTGGCTCTTTAAATGGGGAATACTATTAAACATAAAAGGTACAAGGTTCTTCAAGTCCTCCTACCTGCTAATCCTCCACTTCAATACTCAGCCCTTGAGAGCTTGTGTGAAGACATTTCTTTTTTTTTTTTTGAGACAGAGTCTCGCTCTGTCACCCAGGCTGGAGTAGCGCAGTGGCGCGATCTCGGCTCACTGCAACCTCCGCCTCCCGGGTTCACACCATTCTCCTGCCTCAGCCTCCTGAGCCTCCTGAGCCTCCTGAGCCTCCTGAGTAGGTGGGACTACAGGCGCCCGCCACCACGCCCGGCTAATTTTTTTTTGTATTTTTAGTAGAGACCGGGTTTCACCATGTTAGCCAGGATGGTCTCAATCTCCTGACCTCGTGATCCACCCGCCTCGGCCTCCCAAAGTGCTGGGATTCCAGGCGTAAGCCACCGTGCCCGGCCTGTGTGAAGACATTTCTAGGTCTGCAGTGATGACTAAGATGCATTCTACCTCACCAGCACCACCAGATTTCCTGAAGGCATCAGTGTACCCCAGGAATGCCCAATGGCCATTCTGGTCATTGGTGAGAGGGGGAAGGTTTTCTTTAGATTCCGGAATACTTTGAGAGGCTAATTCACATCAACCCATCCACCACTGCAGCACAGTATGACACTCGAGGTTTCATCAGAAAGGGTTACATTATGCCTGGCCAGCAAATTCACTGAAATCTAAAACGACAACAACAACCATTTATTGTATTGACTGCATGTTCCAGGCATACGGTAAAACCTAGAAGATCCCCTGAGATGCAGTTTTACTGAAAGGCTCCCGCTCTCTAGCAAAACAGTCAGGTTACGGCGCAGAAAGTGCAGCTGCAGAAGTCAGACTGAGGTGCAGATGCGGTTCAGTGCTCAGTACCAGGAAAAGCTTAAGAGGCAGGACTACCTGAGCTGGGTTCTGAAGGAAAAACACAAGTGTCCCAGGCAGATAAAGAAGGAAAGAGCTTACCGGGCAGGAGGGGTATGTGCACAGCTTGACAGGTCTAGGGGGAAAAAAATCAGTAAAGAAGAAAATGATTAAGTTACAGATTGATGATGCATGAAATGGGGGGTGGCCAGGGGTGGGGGGTGAGACTGCAGAGAAAGGCAGGGCTGGTTCATAACAAGCTTTGTGCGTCCCAATATGACAGCTGAAGTTTTCCAGGGGCTGATGGTGAGCCAGTGAGGGTAAGTACACAGAACATCCTAGAGAAACCCTCATTCCTTAAAGATTAAAAATAAAGACTTGCTGTCTGTAAGGGATTGGATTATCCTATTTGAGAAATTCTGTTATCCAGAATGGCTTACCCCACAATGCTGAAAAGTGTGTACCGTAATCTCAAAGCAAGCTCCTCCTCAGACAGAGAAACACCAGCCGTCACAGGAAGCAAAGAAATTGGCTTCACTTTTAAGGTGAATCCAGAACCCAGATGTCAGAGCTCCAAGCACTTTGCTCTCAGCTCCACGCAGCTGCTTTAGGAGCCACTCATGAGGAAAAGAAGAATTTTCTCTATTATACCCCTTATTGGGTGCCATCCAAGGCTAGGAAAAAGGTTGTTCTATAACCCTGAGCCCATTTGAACAAACCCCCAATAAGAGAGGCCCCGAAAAGTGTATTTTCACCAAAGCTCTACCCCAAGCCAAGCCAAAGGAGAAAGCGCTATTTTAAGACTTGCTGCTTGTGTCACGAGTGGACTTTATTCCAACAAGGCCATATTACAGTGGGCAATGAAAGCCATCTCAGACTTCCATATCAAGCAAATGTTTGTGAGCCAGTGATTCAACAGAGAAAAATTCACAAGCCTCCCTGGGCTTCTGTCCTCCTGTAACAGTTCCAGCCTGGCGGCCCTTAGAACTTCATATATGAACTGGTACAAAATCCTGTCCAGCTGTCTCCCAGCCTCCATCTCTCCCCGCTTCAATTTGTCCCAGGCACGATGCAGGTGCACCTTCCAAAACCAGGGCCTTTAGCACACCACATCCCCCTGATGAAAAGTCACCCTGCCTTCCCAAAGCCCACAGCCCCTAACTCACCAACTTCTTCTTTTGTTTTTTTTTTTTTGTTTTTGTTTTTGTTTTTGAGACGGAGTCTCGCTCTGTCATCCAGGCTGGAGGAGTGCAGTGGCATGATATCGGCTCACTGCAAGCTCTGACTTCCGGGTTCACGCCATTCTCCTGCCTCAGCCTCCCGAGTAGCTGGGACTACAGGCGCCCGCCACCACGCCCAGCTAATTTTTTGTATTTTTAGTAGAGACGGGGTTTCACCGCGTTAGTCAAGATGGTCTCGATCTCCTGACCTCATGATTCGCCCGCCTCAGCCTCCCAGAGTGCTGGGATTACAGGCATGAGCCACCACGCCCGGCCTAACTCACCAACTTCATCTGCAACTCCTTGCTAACAGAAACCCAAGCTGGCTTCCTCTCCAACCCAAAAAATATATTTGTGCTTGCCAAACTACCCTCCCTTAATCCTTCCATTCAGATTTTAACTGTCTTGTATCCAAAGACCCAACTCAAGTCCCACCCCTCCTTTGAGTTTGAGAAGCTAAAGGAAGCTCCCACCTCTGACTTCCCATCCGTGTTCAGCCACCACAGTGCACACATCCATTCACTACACTGCTACCTCCTTTCTATTGTTGCTCGTAACTGTTCATTTAATCTTCTATTGTTGCTTAACTTATGACACATTTTTTGCAAGCTCTCCAACTATGTCCCTCGAGGGCAGGGACAGGAAGCTCTGAATTTAATATAATAAATGTTGAGTGGAGGAGTCGTAAGTACTAAGAGCTTCGCAAGGTGCTTTCATAGATATAAGGATGGGTGTAACGTACTCACAGCCTCTAATACCTAAGTGAAGGAATAAGAATTAAAGTATGTAGATACTGACAATGCCTAGTTGAAGATGGCCAAGCACAGCCTTTGATTTGGTTTGCTGTTTGGTGACGCCTCCTCCTACCCTATCCTCCCATCTCCTAATCACTAAGACCCAAATCTAATATTCTCATCTTGACTTCTTCAAGCAGAATGCTACCCAACACACTGTCCTCTGGGCCCTTTGACTTTCACTCATCCCCTTACGAGACTCTTCCTCCCTCACCAAGACGAGGCTCCTGAATGGACGATGAGTAACTCTGCACCTCTGTGTTCCGCTGTCAAGCCAGGACCTGCACACAGTAGGAGCTTGATCAACGTTGGCTGAGCAAGTGAAGGAAACCCCACAAAGAGACAGTGTCACAGAGCCTACAGTCAGGAACGATTTCAGCCAGAGACAAGAGAGAGGATGGGGGGTTGGATCCAGCAAAAAAAGCAGCGTAACAAGGCCACTCAAGTGGGAAAACAAGTGGCATTTTTAGGTGAAGCCTAGTAGGCTAGGAACAAAGAAAACCTGGAGAGGAGTCCTAGGAAATACAGCGAGGTCAGAGAGGCAGGGAAGCCAGGGGCAAGGTCGGTCCTGGAACAACAAACTGAGGAGTCTGAACAGCTGCGAGTTGAGTCCTGGCTCCTTCTTCATGGCTGTGGGCCTTGCACAAGCGTCAGTTTCCACATCTGTGAAGTGGGAGAGTGAGCACATCCCCCTCCCAGGGTTGCTGTGAGAATGAAATAACAAAAATGACCGAATGAGAGAGTGCCTGGCACAAAAGAAACACTGGAAGAACGTGCTTTGGGTGCAGATTGGATGGAAGCAGAGCATGCTGCAGAGAAGGGAGAGCTGAGGACCAGGGAGCCTAGGTTCTGGTTCCACCTCCCCTCTGAATAATCATCTTGACCTCCCTTAGGTCTGGCCTTAGTTTCTACGGATGTAAAATGAAGGTGTTGGTCTAGTGGGGCTCCAAGGTCTCTTCCAGCCTTGGTAGTCTCTCAATACAGTAGCTCTGCCTTACAGACGGAAGGCATCAGAGAGTGCTCTTGTAACTGAGAAACCCAGCAGAGAGGGAGTCATATTGGGAAATGGGTAAAGACACCAATATGGTCGAGGAGAGTTCTTCCTGCTGGGGACCAAGTACTGAGTCCCTCCCTCCATTCTCCCACGTCCACTTCATCCTCCTGACATGGGAGCGCCGGTCTACACCTAAGTCATTTCATAATCATCGTCATCCATGCTGGACAACAACCATCCTAAAGTTTCTCATATTGAAAATGTCTTTCCAGGCATTTTCAAGGCAACTTGTCATGTAAATGTGAACAAGCTTTACAGCATGTCCATTCTTCTCATTCCAGATAAGTTAAAATCCCTACAAACTCGGAGGAAAGAAAGCACGCATTTCGGTATTGTACTCTCCTTGCCTTTTTACAAAGCCATCAATGTTTGAACCACAACAATGATCCTTCAGAGAATTCATTCTGCTGATCTGAAATATCCTTCACATTTTTAAAACAAAAGCTGCTAGGAGACGCCTTGAGGAGCTCAAGTCTATCTCATCACCATTTAAGTCTACTGTTACTCACCCACCTCTCCCTCCCGCATCACCTCCACCCCAGTAATGAAAACATGACCATTCATTCACAAAACAAATCATTCAGTGTGGACACAACTACTTACTAACTGCAGACCTACTAAGCACCAGCACCACTCCTGAAGAAAGGTAAAGCCCCACCGGCCTATGGGCTTGCCTCTATGCCTCCCTTGGCTTCTGAAACAACCACAAAATGCCATTTCCAGATGAGAGCTGACATCAGTCAAGAAGGCTCTTAAACAAACAGTGTTGGCACATGAAGGATCTACGCAACTGTTCTAAAAACAAAAGGGGAGGGGATGGCTTCGAGTTAGCCGCAGCAAGGTTAACCTTACTCAATAATAACAAATATGCATTTAATGTATCCAAGGAAGCCGCAGCAATCCCTAACCACAGAATAACACTCAAGAGCCCAAGATTCCCTTCTGAATTTAAAATTTAAAAAAAAGAAAAGGAAGAAAGAAATCCCTAGATGCCCACGTTCTGCTGTAAATCTTCCTAAATTCTATGGCTACCATGGAGAGCTGGAAAGATCGGCAAGTCCTTTCTTCCCAATTGGCCTTGGTAATTCAGAAAAGGACTATGTTAAAAGCAAAGCTCTCTCAGTAGTCAGGGTTCCATCTCCATCTGCGTCTGCTGCCTGTCCAAGGCACAGCCCCATAATGCGACAAAAGAGGCTCAAATTATGGGTGAGACTGCATTTTCAATTCCAGCCCCAGCCTGTGATTACCTGCAACTCCAGGTTGCCCAAAATTACCTCTGAAGCCTTAAACGCCCTACAGTTTATTCCATTCCTAGAACAAAATCTTTTTTGGAAAGCCTCATAAGAGATAAAGGAAGAACAACAATGAAAAAAAAAAAAGCCCTAGATATTTCTGTTACAGTGAAGGAAGAACCAGCAGACAAGCATGTTTTTTTTTTTTTGAGACGAAGTCTCACTGTTTCCAGGCTGGAGCGCAATGGCTGTGATCTCGGCTCACTGTAACCTCCGTCTCTGGAGTTCAAGTGACTCTCCTGCCTCAGCCTCCCGAGTAGCTGGGATTACAGGCGTGCGCCACCACGCCCGGCTAATTTTTGTATTTTTTAGTAGAGACAGGGTTTCACAATGTTGGCCAGGCTGGTCTCGAACTCCTGACCTCAGGTGATCCCCCCACCTCGGCCTCCCAAAATTCTGGGATTACAGGCGTGAGCCACCAAGCCCGGCCTGATTTTGATATTTTTTAATGTCTCATACACACCGCCTCTCCTGTATACTCAAGCAGAACAAAATGAATTCCATGTCTCTGCAATTATAAAAACTCAGAATCCTGGAAACTCTTACCTAATTTACTTTTTAAACCACTTTTGTTCTTGATATATTCTTAGAGGTAGAATGTGCGGGTGGTTAAGGAACTTATGAAGGTGGGTAGGTGAGTACTGTTATCTCCAGGCAGAACAGTAGTTAAATAAGTAATCTGCCAAAAGTAAGTAAGTGATGTAACTCCATGTGTTAGGTTAGCGGTAATGACAGTTTACATAACCACTGTACTGCTTTCTGCAATACAGTTGAATATTAGGCTCCTAGCGGGTTATTTGTTAAAACATTCGTTTATGTTTGAGAAGTCTTTGGTGTTTTTTTTGTTTGCTTTTTGTTTTTGAGAAGGAGTCTTGCTCTTTCCCCAGGCTGGAGTGCAGTGGCGGCATCTCAACTCACTGCAACCTCTGCCTCACAGGTTCGAGCCATTCTCCTACCTCAGCCTCCCGAGTAGCTGGGACTACAGGCACGCGCCACCATGCCCAGCTAATTTTTTTTTTTGTATTTTTAGTAGACACGGGGTTTCACCATATTGGCCAGGATGGTCTCAATCTCTTGACTTCGTGATCCACCTGCCTCGGCTTCCCAAAGTGCTGGGATTACAGGGGTGAGCCACTGTGCCCAACCGAAAAGTCCTTGGTTTTGCATAACAGGTGAGGCTCCCAAAAGGGTCTATCATGATTGTGTTCATCAAATAATTTGAAATATAATAACGGAATTAGCTATTAAAAGGAGACTCACTATGAATCCCTTTAGTAAGGTAAAAATCTTTTTGTACTGCAATTAACTTATCTCAAATTATTTAGTTTTAAGATCACATTTTATATGCCCACTTCTCCTAAAATACAGCACTCCTCCACTTGGCTTCAACTCCCAAATAAGAATGTAACAAACCTTCTATTTACACTGCACTTACTTCAGATCTCCTCTTTCCTCTACCCCCAGGAGATCAGCCATAGTGAGGAGCCCTCTTTCTAGCAACTCACACATTTGGAGGCATCAAACTAAGTCACTTTGCATTTTTCCTGACTTGTGTATCTACCCAATTGCTCTTCTACTCTGTTTTTCTTCAAAAGACCTTTGATATTCACCCAGCAGCTCCCCTACAAGGTAATCTCCCGTTCAGGCCAAATGAATGGGTTTCCCCTTCCAAGTTACATTCAGGGCTTTGCAAAATCCGGAGAGGTCACCTCAGCTTTTATTTACTTAATTATGAAATAATTACAAGATTCAGCATTGTTGCTGTTGTTTTTAATCACAAAGCACTTAATTCTCAAATAGTGGTCAAAGAACAGTGTAACATTTCAGAACTAACGGGTTTCCACCATAGGTAATAAGTTAGCTGGCAAGTCTGGCTGCTGCTTTATGAAAATGGCTATGACCAATCACAAAGACTTTGTGATTCTTTTCTTCAGCCTTGTGTATTTGCAGTGCTTTATATTTCAAGGAAGAGTGCACCTATGAACTGGTCAGGCCTCTTTCTTTCCATTTAAGAAGGAGAAAACTAGACAACCTAAAGAGTGCTCAGTGTAGAGGCTAAGCTAACTGACTGAAGCAAGCCCTTTCCCTCCCTGGGCCTCTAAATTCCTACTTACAAGATCAGTAACACACTAATGTATAGAGACAGCGCCTGAAGCCCAGAGATGCCAAGAAATATTCTAAGGTCACACAGCAAGTTAGCACAGGATGCTGTAAGACTAAACCCCTGATCCCCTGGGGCTTGATTAAAGCATCCTGTCTCCCAATCAACATAGGGATGGATGATAGAGACAAGACAAACATACAAACACAAACACACACACACACACACACACACACACACAGAGAGAGAGAGAGAGAGAGAGGCTTCTAACTTTTATTCCCATTATCCTTCTGGCTGCTGTTTCTAAAAACTATACTAAATATACCTGGCCCTGGAGACTGCTTTTACAACTGTGATTTTCCACATTCTCTATCTAATATCCTTCAGGCAGTTACACTGTTGCTTGCTCTTCCTCACCATAGTTTCCTCATCCCAAGAAACACACATATGCACACATGCCCACCTACCCTCCCATTCTCAATATTCAAAACTCTTTCTTTTCTAACAGCAAAGGAAGTTTAGACTAGAACTGAAATGATCATAATATGAATCTTGTTCAGGTGTTAAACACAACCATAACTCTACCCAGAGCATATCTGATAAAATGGAATTTGTTCTCACCTAAGTGTTTTTTTTTTCATATTATATCATTTGTCAAGTAACATTGTCATTTTTCCCACTGCTGCATAATGACATAATGAAAGTGCCAGGTGTAATTCATGTACACAAGAGGGCAGACTTAGGGTTGATAAGGGACCCTTTCTTTATTTGCATTGCTAATAGTTTTTTAAAGAATAGGCAAAATGCTGTACGTAGAATGATAACGGACAAAAGAAAAAATTTTCTGTTTTTAATAACAATGTGGGATAACCAGTTAGCATGCTCAGATTTTATCTCGCAACCATTCTTGCCACTATTTGAATACACAGAGCAAGAAGCGGGGGCACAGTCCTCAGCATGGAATCTTATTAAATTATTTCTCTTCTAACACCGCGTTTCCCTCTTCGGGCACATCCCACCTTCCAGCCACACTAACTATGACTATTCTCCATACACACCACAATAGATACTTTAGGGTTTCCATGCTGTTCTTTCTGCCTGTGATCCCCTTCCTCCCTACTCTCCTGGGAAGTTCAAACTCATCCCTTGAACAAGTCTGCAGGATAGTACTTACCTGGTAATAATAGTTGAATGTCTGGCCCGGGCACGGTGGCTCACACCTGTAATCCCAGCACTTTGGGAGGCCGAGACAGGTGGATCACAAGGTCAGGAGTTCTAGACCAGCCTGGCGAAGATGGTGAAACCCCGCCTCTACTAAAAATACAAAAATTAGCCGGGCGTGGGGGCGGGCGCCTGTAATCCCAGCTACTCGGGAGGCTGAGGCAGGAGAATTGCTTGAACCCGGGAGGCGGAGGTTGCAGTGAGCTAAGATCATGCCACTGCACTCTAGCCTGGCTGACAGAGCAAGACTCCATCTCAAAAAAAAAAGAAAAAACAAACAAACAAACAAATAGCTGAATGTCTGCCTCCCATAAAAGACTAGAAGCTAAATGTAACCTGACTCTGTAACCTCCACACAGAGCATGGCACCTGCCACAGGGTAGATGGTCTATTATTATTTGTTAAACGAAAAGATGAAAAGTCTTATAAAATACATTTAACGAAGCCTTTCACTCGTTGCTGCCTGCTACTCTCCATACGCCAATGTGACAGAGAAATGCTGAACACCTCTCAATGGCAAATACTCCATGTAGAGCGACCTCACCAACACTAAGCAGATTTTCCAAGGTGGCTGTATCCCCGAGGTGTGTCAGTGGCAGGGTGTCTAGAGCTCTCAGCCTTTTGGGTCTTATATCCCCCACCCCCAATGCAGTATGCTCCTCCTTTCTGAGAATCTCTAGCCAAAAAGACACCTTCATCTTGTTCACGGACCGTAAGGAAGGCCAGCCTCCTGCCTCTACTTCTGCCACCTGGCTTCCATCAAATTCATAAGACTTCATTCATGTCTCAGGATGACAGCATATATTCTCCACAGGATCGGTCTTCAATCGTTGGTGCTCAATGGCAAATGCGATGGTATTTTCCTGTTCCAATCTCTTACCCCTTGGCTGTACTGTGCCCAAGAGAATCAATCTATAAAGTCTTAATGTTAGAAATAAAGCTGTCTGCTGACCATTTTTCCTAGACCACAACAATAGCTCCCCTTCAACTACCTAAATGTGCACTACACGTATGGGTAAAGGGTCACAAATGCCGTCTACCAGACCCCAGAGTTCAAGGGAAAAGTAATAACTCAGGTGGGTTCACAGGTTTCAAACAGAGTCTAACTCTACATGCTGAACTGGGCCTTTTAGAATCCAGTGTGACCAACATCTTGGTGATATCTGCCTGTTTTTGTGACAGTATTCTAAACTAAGCAGGCTCTTCTTGGCCTCTACCTTGCATCTTTCCTGTCTCCCCGCTACTCCCACCTCTGGGATCAGCTTTGATAAGACTTAGCTACTTGGGTAAACCTAGGCAATGGGGCAGTCAGTGTTCTTCAGGGAAGTAGAATTATCTTCCAATTCTGCTGGAAGGGCTGTGGACATTAATGATTTCATACTATTAAAAGTGCAGACAGCGTCTGAGGTGGAAGTGCAACTACACCGTCAAATGTTATGTTAACATCTCTAAGTATACGGAATGTATTTTTAAGGGGAATTTTAAGTTTGATGGAGTCCACTGCAGAGACATTTTGAAGCCATGTGATTTTATGATGACTGCAGGGAATATGCAGTCAAAAACCAAACACCAAAAGTGTTGATTACAAACTGTTAGGGAACTTAAAGTTAGGATGGTCTAATATTCAAAGGATAGAGCCTTTTTGTAGTCCTTAAATACTTAGAGATTATAACTGAGTCTTTTCAGAATGTCACATAACATTTTGCAGTTAACTGGTTCTGAGTTGTCCAAATGACAATTTAGATGTGAGCAGGCCCATCCCTTAGGCACTCAGAATCCACTCACTAGTGCAAGCATGTACTAGATCCCAAAAAGTTCATCTCAGGAACCCTCAAGATAAACCACAGTCTCACGAACCCTCAACATAAACCACAGGCTCATGAACCCTCAAGATAAACCACAGTAACATGGGCCCTGGTGTTTTCTTCTTCGATGGTGGAAAAGATAACTAGTCCCCCCTAGTGTCCTGCTACTGTAGGTGGCTGAAGGATGGCGACACTACAGGACGCACCCTCCCTGCACTGTGCATCAACTTTAAAGCGCAGCTCAGGAACCCAGAAACAAAGGAAACCTTCGTCACAACCTTCCCAAGAGATGGAAGCACTTCCGAGACCTATGATGAGATGAAAAAAACCTTTCATTTCATTTCTAAGGCCCTTCCAGGTATGGTTTAAAAGCCAAAGGAATCTGCATTGGCTCACATCAAAAAGTTAATCCACACCCCAGCACACTTCATTAAGTGAAGCAGGAGGGCCCACACTTGTCAGCAGCTACTGCTCACTCCAGAGCAATCCGATCTTCCCGTTAAAAACCTCTCTCTCCTGCCAGGGGGATTTGATTCCTTTCCTCGCCACTCTTGAAAACCCACTAACCTCTAAATCTTGGTGATTTTTGCCTCTCTGTTCGAGTGAGTTTTCTTCCTGGTATGGAATTAACAGGGACAGGCTCGATAAATGTGTTCTCCACAAGCAATTTTCACTAAAGTACTCTTGAACAATAAAGGTACACTAAGAGATGTGTGAAATCTTAAAGCTGGCGTTTTTATTTCTTTTATTTTTACCCCTAGGGAGGACCAAGCGTGCCAGTGAGTAATTCATTCATGTCACCCATTTGTGAGGGATGGGAGAAGAAACAACCACCACTTGTTCCCTTCTTAATTTAGAAGCTTTCCTTATCTTAAGTCTATCAAAGCTGACTCCTGAGGTGGGAAGACAGGAGAAGTGAGAAGAAAAATTAACCCGAGGTGACTGCCTCCACGGAATGATAAGCACTTCAGGTCTCCACACCTGTGTCAGAGAAGAAAGGCATCTGCATGTCAGGGAGGCGGACGCCCCCACCTGCCACCCCCTCCGTTTCTCCCCTTGAAGGAAGCAGGAGCCTGATCTCCCCCCACTCCCTCCTCTCTCTCTCTCTCTGGGCACTTACATAAGACCCTGTAAAACTTCCAGTGACATTCACGAAAAATGTAAGCTGCTATTTTGCTCCCTCAGGAGATCATTTTAATGGACTGAGTGACAAAATTCACGGATTCTGAATTCAGCAGAAACCTGCTCAACCGAGGCACATCAGCACAGAGACGAAAAAAAAAAAAAAAAAGAGTCCAACCCCATTAAACAGGGTCACCCAAGGGATGGATTCAGTGTGCAAGAGACAATCTGTTCCCTCCGAAGTGACCCATTTAAAATCAGATTGTTCTGGGGGAAGCTCACAGGTTTAATAAATTTCAAACAGGCAAGGACAGGCTTGTACAACTGAGGTTCCTTAAGAGGAACATTTAAAAGAGGATAAGGCAATGAACAAAATAACTTGAGGATACACAAACTTTGGAGTCCTCACTCCAAAACTTCAAAAGCAGTGACATTTACAAGAATGTCTGGATAGCTATACACTGATCACTCCTCACAAGCAGCTTTGACTAACAGGAAGGACATGCTGGCTGGGCTTCCCCCCTACAGATAGCAATGCCAACCAACCACTCTGTCCTAAAGAGGGACTCGCAAGCTGTGGCTGCTCGCCCCCAAATTGCGCAGGACTGTCTGCAAGAAGGAACAAGAAAAGTTATTCACAGCATCACACCACGAAAGGTAGTTGCGTACCGCCCAACAGGGCCCTCTCCAAACACGGCAGGCTCCGCGAACCACAGGTGCTCACCGCTAACAAGAGGGCCGGGGGTGCGGGTATCGGTCACATGCCCTCGTGGTGTTAACCAGAAACTCCTCCTGGCTCGCTCCCTGCCAGCAGCCTGTGTGCCCAGAAGCCGAGCAGGCCCTGAGGGGGTCCTGGGGACTTCGGAGACTGGGGGCTTCCACCTCCAGCCTCTCCAGGGCTCCCGGCCGGGGCAGCAGAGGGTGTGCCCGGCCTCCCCGCCGGCATCCCGAGTACAGGGGGTACCAGCCACAGGTTCGGAGAACTTGTCCGGCGCTACACACCACGGCGCCCCCGCGGCGACTCTCGCGCTCCGGGGCTCTTACCTTGGCCGTGACTGCCGCCAGGCAGAGGGAGACACGGAAGAACAGGGTGGCGCGGCGGCGCCGCCGCCTACGAGGCGCAGGGGGTCCGGGTCAGGGTCCCGGCAGGCGCTGCCCTACTCGGAGCGGCGGTGCCAAGCACAGAGTTCGGGACTGCCCCCGGCTCCAAATGCCGCGGCGAGGGTCCGGGTCCCCCAAGCTGAGCACTGTCCCTTCTTCCTCTTCCTCCGGGGCCGCTGCCTGGAGCTGCTCCCGGCCCGGGGGACTCTTCCGAGCCAGGGGCGCCCCGCATGGGCAGGGGCCTGGGTCAGCCTCGGGTTGGGTCCAGGGAGCGACCGCCGGGGCCGACTCCACCTCCCGCGCTCCAAGCCGATTCGTCCCTTCAGGGCAGGGCCTGCCCGCGAACAGCCCGGCGAGACGAGCGCGGCCGCGCCCCCAGCTTCGGGCGCCCGGGCTCCGGCGCGGCGGCGGGGCAGGAGCAGACTGGCCGGGCCGGGCGCCGAACGCGGCGGCGCGGGGGGGGCTGCAACCGGCCGCGGCGCGCTCTCCCCCAGGGCCTGCGCCGCCCGCCCGCGGCTCCGCGGGAAAGAAGCGCCGGAAAAGGCCTCGCCCCGGCCTGGGGCGCGGGGCCGGGGGCGCGGGGCTAGGGGAGGCGCCCCGGGAAGGTCACGGGAGCGGAGGCGCGGCGAGTGGATCGCGGCGCGGTGGGTGCGGGGAGCCGAGGCGGGCGGCCCCCGCCGCCGGGAGCGCTCGCCGGCCTTGGCCGCCGCCGCCGCCTCCGAGATGCGCCGGCTTCCCGGAGCGCCCGGCGCTCGGAGCTGGGCGGCCGCTGCAGCCGCCGCGGGCAGCCGGGCGCCGCTGGCCGGAGCCGGCGCGCGATCCCCGCCTCCCGCGCCCGGCCAGGAGTGGGCCGCCGCGCGGGAACCGGCAGGGGCGGGCGCTGGGGTCCGGGCTCCGGGCTGGCCCCGCCGCCTCCGCGTGCCCAGAGCGCCGGACTCGCTCAGCAGCTGCAGTGACTGTGTGTCTGTGTCATGTCTGTGCAGCCGGGGGGGACCGCGAGCCGGGGCTGGGTTCCGAGCGGGGGCGGGGCCGGCGCCCGCGTCGGCGCCCGCCCCCGACCCCGTGACCGAGCGGCCGGCCAATGGCAAGCGCCGCAGCCGCGCGGACCGAGAGTTCGCCCCCGCACAGGCTCCGCCCCCCGGCGAGACTCCGCCCCGGTGCTTCTTCAGCTCGCTGGCTGGCAGGCAGGCGGAAGCAACACCCGGAGCCGGGATCCCGGGCCGGGTCGGGATGAAAGGGTGCAAGCTGGGAGCTCCCCGCCCTTCTTCCCCCAACCCCGGCGGCTCCCGGCCGCCTCGGGCTTGGCGTGCCTCGCGGAAAAAGGGGGAAGGGAAGCGGGACGGGCCCGCAGCTGCCGTGGTAGAGAGGCTCGCAGGCTTGCAGGACCATGCAGCCTGCTCCCCAAATTGCACAAAACAGCCGTCGTGAGAAGTAGGAAGTTTCCCCGCCTCGGGTCGCAGCTTCTCTCGGAGGTGGGCATGCTGTGGGGCAGCCGGAGTCTGTGAGGAGCCCCGCCGAAGGGCTCTGACGGCATCTTTCTGGGATCGGTATCCAAGAATCCTGTCCAAGGCTTCCTCTTCCTCTGAGGAAACTACATTTCTTTTTCCTCCACCCCAAACACACACCCCATGCACGCACAACACGCCCCTCCCCTGCTGATTTTATTCTCGCTCTTTCCCTCTTGGCATAAGAACCCGGCGCGCAACATCCCTTGAATGGACTTCCAGCCTCCCAGTTCTAGGGACCAGGGTGGGGGTACGGAGAGTCCTCCCGAGCCACAGGAGAAGTGGGTGAAATGGGTCGGGGCACAGGAGCGGGGGTGTGAGAATGGATGGAAGGAGGATGCCCTCGAGAGAAGACCCAGAGGAGGCGAAAGCAGAGAGGCAGGGAGAGAAAGAGGACGCCGAGAGCTGCACAACTCGGACTCGGAGACCGGAGCTCCGGGCGCGCGATCCAGCTCCCGGGTTTTTCCGCAGCTCGGTCCCAGGGCTTCTGGGGTCCCCTTCCCCCCGGGTCTCCACCTCTCCCCAGCCGGGCGGGCCGCCGGGTCTTTGCCTTCCCTCTGCGCGCCTCTCCGCTCTCCAGGACTCGAGCGAGGCAGCGGGAAGCCCACCCTAGTTCTTGGAAGGGGCAGGGGAAGGATGGGCTGGGGAGGGGGCGCGCGGGAAAGGGCCGCCGAGCTTGGGTTGCCCAGCTGACCCCACTCCTCGAGGTCGGGCTGGGGGGGTGGGGCGGCAAGGGCTTCGGAGGCTTGGCCCCTGCTTGGCTCCGGACCTGGCTCCCGCCTCGGTAACCACACTCTCGGCCTTTGGCTTTACCGAGCTGGGACCCTTCTCCCATCCCCCTTCCCTCCAGCCTCGTGAAACAACGACCCCCACCAGCAGCAGCAGCGCCCGCTTTGCCCCGGCTCCGGAGCGCTGTTTACCTAATCTCAGCGGCTGACCGAGCCCAGCAGAATGCGAAAGGGAGGCAGCGGTGGTACAGCAGCGTCCCCGGCGAAGAAGTAAAAGACGTTTGCTTTGGAGCTTCGGGATAAGTTAACTGCGAAGCTGGGGTCCTGCTGTCTTACCTCTGCGGCGATGAGCCTCACCGTGCACGTTGGCAGGCATAGCAGATTCTGTTTCTGATGCCATTACCGTGTCGGAGAAGAACATTATATGAAAAAATACTATCTAATATCCTAGAGACCATTAAAGTGTCAAAGTTTAATGCCAAGTCTTTTAGCTCGAAGGCTGCTCAGTTCTTCCTCTGACGTGCAGCTCTGTTCCAGAACGCGCTGAAAACAAGGGGATCATTTTTATTTTTTTGCCGCCCGAATGTCCTTCCTTCCTACTCTCTTCCTCCTCTCTCACCCCTACCCCCTCCCCGGAACCGGGTAAAGTTAAAGGGAGAATTTGTACTTTCTTTTTACGTTTTGCTTTGCTTCACTTCATTAGTGGTGTAAAATGCATTATTACAGCACATTAGCATATTAATAAAGGTAACGTGACTGAGGAAAGGAAAAGACCTGAAATTTACAAGCGAAGGAGAAATAGTTGAATAACATCAGAAACTAAAAGATAAGCTTCCGGGAAAGAAACATCTCCATTATAATGACTCAAGTGTAGTACATTCTCTAGATGGAATCTAAGAAAGAAAAATGTGACCATGGTGTGGGAGCTAGCAATGTTCACGCTGGTCAGTAAGGCACGTTGAAGACATAATGCCTTATTAGTGGATTTCACAAAGTGTACTTGCATTGGTCAATAAGCACCTTAAATGTGGAAAAGCTTTGTTTTATCAAATCAAGGTTGCAAGTGCCTGCAGTCAGTGGCATAGCTAATGCTCTAAATGATATTAATGTTGTCAGACTGAAATGTGCCACATACTGAGTCCTCTGGTTAGTACATCAAGCCCCAGGTTTAAAGTATTACGTTGGAAAATTGTAAAGCTCCTCAACTCCCCAGTCCAAGCAACTAAATATGTATATACATATACATGGAAACCCTGAAGTAGGATGTAGTTACCAGGAATTATAGCCTTTTGACACAACCAAGATACAAATGTCTTAAAAGGATTTCCGCTACGATATAGTATGAGAATGCAGAATAAAATATGTAAAGTGATATATCTGTTATTTGTAAAGAATGAGCGCAGCTTTTGCTGAGAACTGAAAAATGAAAAAAAAAAATGAGCTATCTAAACCAACTGTTATCTGTTTATCTCCACACAGTTATTGTACCTGTCACTGAAGAGATTCGGAAAGGTCTCTTATTTTTTATTAGGGTCAAGGAGACCGAATCCTAAGAAACCTGAGGTCTTAAAGCAGCCACTAGGGGGCCCTAAAGGCATCTCAAAGAGGAAGCCAGGAAACACTCTCACCTCCGTTTTTCTGTGTGCCTGATATTAGGAACTGGGGAATCTAAAGGCACGTTAAGAACACAGTGCACTGTAGTCCCAGCACTTTGGGAGGCTGAGGCGGGCGGATCACATGAAGTCAGAAGTTAGAGACCAGCCTGGCCAACATGGCGAAACCCCGACTCTACTAAAAATGGTAAAATGTTCCGGGCGTGTTGGTGGGCGCCTGTAATCCCAGCTACTCAGGAGGCTGAGGCAGGAGAATTGCTTCAACCGGGGAGGCGGAGGTTGCAGTGAGCCGAGATCGCACTCCAGCCTGGGCGACAAAAGCAAAACTCCATCTCAAAACAAACAAACAAAAACATAGTGCAAAGTTTGGAGGCAAATCTAGTTTTATGTAATAAATGACCTGAGTCCAATTTTGACTCCTAAGTCAATTTAGTTTCTCAACTCTTTTCTCACCTCCAAGAAAGGAAATATTGTATCCTTGAGAGGAGGGTTACCAAATACTCTTAACTGTCTCAAAGTCGGCACAATTATGTTTGCCATTCCAAACAGGACGTTCTTTCAAAGATTTGAGGACTGTTTTCTGAATGTTTTGCACATTCTTCAAGAGCTACATAACAAGACGATTGAATTCTCACAAAGAGGATATTTAAAAGATTAAGCAACCTGTACAGCAGGGCACCCACCTGCCAACTTAATTGAAGTCAAGCCAGCCACAGGGGCACTAGCATTAGAGCTGAGTCCTGAAGGCTTCTGCTAGGCCAGACATTTATTCTTTAGTGCTGGGTTCTGGTGAAATGGTGGTGTTGATGTTGGGAGGAAGGAGTGGTTCCTGCAGCAGGGGTGAGGAGACAGGGTATAGTGGGAATGGCAGCCAGTGGTAGTGGAGGGGTGATTACTCCAAGGGCTACTTAGCCAGTATGGAAGGATTGCAGTATCTTAATTAATGTTATATTTATCAAAACATCTAAATGTCGGGTCTGATCCTACAGAAAGCTGCCTAAAATTTTTAACTAGCAATTAAATTTTCATGGCTTCCAGATCCTTAGCAGTCACATAGTATTTTTTCCATATCTTACCAGTAGGTAAAGTTAAGATGTCCTTTATGAGAGTCAAGAATCAAACAGCATTCAGATAGCACAGGTTTGAAAAAGCCTAGTTTTCCTTAAACCAATGCTAGATAAATATCTGCCAAAGATGCTCTGTCCTGACACACTTCAAGCAAAAATTTAAGCACCGGGCATGAAACATTGCTCTTTTATTTAGGCCAATAATCAAAAGACATTGCTGAACAAAACAAATGTCTCCATCCGGGCTAAGCAAAGAAGAAATCACCTGTTAGGTAAAGAATGAAAAAACATTGCAAAAGCCACCAAATTAACACTAATGGAAGTGTGATTTGAACATAATTTAAGTAAAAACAAGCAAGTCCAGAATGGAGACATGAGACAGGGAATGGGGATAAAGTCTTTCTTTGTGGAATGAAACTATTTTATGCTGACATCATCATGTTCATTAACAGGCGAGATACAGGTATGCTCAAAATAGCATTATTAACCTCCAGAAGACTTGCCCCTGCAAAGCTGAGAGCCAGCTAATTAGAACAAATTTGGCTGTAGATAGAGAATCCCATTGTCTTTTAGGAGAGAGGGTTTATTCACTCGCCAGCTGTGAAAGTCCGTCAGAGTAGGACTTTGTCAGGTATTGGCTCTCTGACCACCTTATGATAAAATGCTGAACTGGGGAGTCAAAGCCCCTCTAGAGACAGAAAGAAAAAAATCAGTGCCAAAGAGGTCAACTCAAAGGACAAAGGGAGCTTTTCTTCTCAAGGAAAGGGGAGCTCAAGCTAGTGGGCCATAAGATCCTCAAGACAAAAATGAAAACAAAAAATTTAAACATTGGTAAAAGCACCAGAGTCCTGAAATGAAACATTATGACATATACCTTTTGGAGCTCTTTAGTGTGAAGCCCTGTTTAAAGGGTGTGTTTTTATCAGTTTCTGTTTTCTCCTCCCTCTGTTTAAAAGAGCTATGAGGCAGAACATCTCAAAGTTTACTGTGTAGCCAGATCACCTGGGGAATCTTGTTAAAATGCAGATCCTGGTTATGTAGGTTTGGGGTGAGGCCTGAGATTCTGCTTTTCTTTTGTTTTTTGTTTTTTTGTTTGTTTGTTTTGAGACAGGGTCTCGCTCTGTCGCCCGGCTGGAGTGCAGTGGCGCAATCTCGGCTCACTGCAACCTCCACCTCCCAGGTTTAAGTGATTCTCCTGCCTCAGCCTCCTGAGTACCTGGGATTACAGGCACCTGCCACCACGCCCAGCTAATTTTTGTATTTTTAGTATAGTCGGGGTTTCGCCACGTTGGCCAGGCTGATCTCTAACTCCTGACCTCAGATGATCCGCCTGCCTCGGCCTCCCAAAGTGCTGGGATTATAGGCGTGAGCCACTGCTCCTGGCGAGACTCTGCTTTTCTAAAAATCTGCCATTCGTGGACCATGCTTTGAGTAGCAAGAATGTAGAAGACATTTGTTGGAAGTCAACAACATCCTTCCCTCTCTTTCCTCTTCCTAAGAGTATTTCCTTGGTTAGGATTCTTCAAAACCCTGAGACAAGGACTTTGCGGCAAGAAGCTTATTTGGGAGGTGATTCCAGGAAGCAGAGTGCTGCGATTTGGGTATTTCCTGAAGTTCACATGTTGAAAGGTAATCACCAATGTGATTGTATTCAGAGATGGAGCCTTTAGGTGGTGATTAAATCATGAGGGCAGGGATTAGGGCCTTTATAAAAGGGCTTGAAGGAGTGGGTTTGTGTTCTTCCATTTTTCTGTCATGTGAAGATACAGCAGGAAGGCCCTTGCCAGACACCAAACGCCAGTGCCATAATCTTGGACTTCCCAGCCACCAAAAATGTAAAAAATAAATTTTTGTTCTTTATAAATTACCAGTCTTAGGTATTTTGTTATAGCAGCACAAATGGACTAAGATAGAGTGAAGGTGTGGGGAAACAAAATAGGTAAGGAAAGAAGGCTAAAGAAAGGTGAATTAATAAGTGATCAACATGTGCTCAGTTCTGAGAGTATGCTCAGAGAGATTGTGCAGAATAGCACTGCCCAAAATAACTTTCTGTGCAATGGAATGACCTATCTGCACTGTCCAATATGGTAGACACTAGCCACATGCAATTGTTGTGTACTTGAAATGAGGCCACTGTGACTGAGAACTGAATGTTTCATTTTATCTATTGTCAATTAATTTGAATTGTAATAACCACATGTGTTGGCTTATTGTGTTGGACACTACAAATGTAGAACATAACTTAAGAACCATCTCACTAGGTCAAGAAACCTAAAGAAATATTTATCCATCAAACTCCGTCATCTGTTGAGGGTGGTTCCTGGGAATTCATAACGCCTGAGACTTCACTTGTGCTTCCATGGCCCGAGAATAACCTCAGCAGAGAGTTGCAGGTGCTTAAGGTTGGAAGTCTTTAGTGTATATGGAAACTGCCCATCAAAGGTGGAGGTGATCACCCAGGTGAGCCTAGGGGATATGAGCAAGGCATTGAGAGCATTTGCTAAAAGAATCCTGGTTTTGATTCTTATTCTCAGTTCCAGGAGCAGATCCTGAATAGCATAAGCTAATCAATATATTCCATGCCACTGACCACTATCATTGGTTCAAAGCTGAGTAGATAACCTAGGCTGGTCCAGTCAGGGTGAATCTCACAACTCTTATGTGTATGCTGGATCACTAAAAGTGTGTTTTTACCTTCTGGACCAATTTGATGTACAGATACAAAGCTTAGTATTTCTGCAGTCATTTTGCCACTACAGAAGATAAAGCTGACACTGAGGATAACAGAGCACAGAGAGACAGAAAACTCAATCCATATCAGTTAGTGATACTTTGAGCTGCAAATAACAGAAATACCCAGCTAACCTTAAATAATAATGATCTCACGTAATGATAAATCTCGAGGTAAGTAAGTCCAGGTTTGGTGCAACCGCTCAACAATTTCGTCAAGGACTCAAGATCTTCTAGTCTTGATATTCTGCCTCCTCAGCATATTGGCATTCCATGTTTCCTCATGATCACAAGATGGCTGTGAGAGCTCCAGACATTGTGTTCCCAAACCAGCATCCAAACTGAGGCAGGATAGTCAAGGAAGTAACCATGTCCTCGGGATGCAGCAACTGTACTAATTGCACCATCAACACAGTAAGCCCCAGCATTCATACTGTAGTCATACTGTAGTCAAGCATTCATACTTGAGTCAACCCACTCAAGCAAAGCTATCTCCTGTTGGGAATTTCCCCTGTGCAAAATGCATGTGCATTTTTATTTCACCTGTCCTCAGACTGACCCTTTGCTCATTGTAATGATAAAAAAAAAAAGCACCCCTGGGTGGATATTTAAGATGCTAACGAGACATGAAACGTATGAACAAGCATGTACAGCTACTGCGCATGGGCTTCTAGAGGGCCACCCAGAACATGCTTACTAGTAACACCTCTCCCCCACCCCGTTATGAATAATCATATAAGACTCCCATAAAGGGAGTGTCCCTAGTGCCAGTCTTTGCTGTCTCATCCTTAGGAGCAGCCCGCCCTGAATCTTTTCTCAGGGTGTACTGTCTATTCTGCACCTAGCTTTCATAGCATTCTTCCTCCTTTGCAATAAATTGCTCTATGCTGCATCTCCTTTGCTGTGTGTCTCTTGTTTAAATTCTTTTAAACTAAGAAGACAAGAACTGAGGTTTCACAACAGCCATTAACAAAAGCAGGGGGCTAAAAAGCATGTAGAAAGAGGCTTCCCTTTTATTAGTAGACTTCTCCTTGTGATTGACTTAAGTTTGTCATGAATCACCATCTAGAAATGGAACATTTTTGGATTTTGTTAGCAAAGGAGGAGAAATGGCTCTTGGGTACCAATTAACTACCTGCTCTAGGACCCTTGATGATATCATTAAGTCACTGAATGAAACCAACCCTGACATTTGTCCTGACTCCAAGCTCCTTGTTTATGTGAGCCAAAAAAATCTACCTATTGTGTAAGTTTTAATTGAGTCTTCTCTTACTTGAACATCCTAACTGATACAGGTAATAAAGACCTACTGCCAAAAGATTCAGACTCAGCAATTCTCATCCACCCTATTCCTGGATGCAATTATAGCCAATGCTGGAAGGGTACAAGGGGCTCCCTTTCCTCCAGAGTGAAATTCAGTTTGGAAATTATTTGCTCTTCTATAATGGTGTGAAACAGAGGCCTAGGATGACCCACATGCATCATTGTATTAAGAGGGGGAGCCTTTAGTAGGTGATTAAGTCATGACAGCAGGGATTAGGGCCCTTATAAAAGAGCATGAGGGAAGGGGTTTGCTTTCTTCCACTTTTTTGTGGAAGAAAGAAAGTTCCCATCCTCCACCCAACACTCATCACATATGGTTGTTCTGCTCAGCCACACCTTCCTTTTGCCTGGGGGACTGGGTATCATTCTAATTTCCTATTGCATCTGCAATCAAATCCTGAGACCCCACCTGTTTGGTTGGTCCTTCTGAAACCCCACCTGCTCGGTTGGTCCTTTAACCATCCTTGCCTCTGCCATGTAGTTTCTGCTAGTATTTCTATCGTGGGACCTGGAGTCTGCTTCCAGAACCCTTGCTTTAACCTTGGTAGATCTATGCTCTGGCAAGAATCTGACTTGAGAAATGCTGATGATTTAAAGTTCCTGTAACAGGTCCTTTATTCACCTTGGCACTTGGAGCTTCGGCTTTGATTTTTGTACGCTTGGACTTGAGTGCGCGGTGCTCACAGAATTAGGGGATTTGGCTTGATGACCTCTGTGAGAAGAGGGCATGTAATTGTGTCCCAGTTAAACTCCCAGATCCAAGCCTCAAATTGGTTTTCTCTCTCTTGGGAGATTAAAGAATGTCTGGATGCCAGGGAGGGGCTGTGTCTGGCAGTGTTTTATCCAGTCCTGCTAGAAAGTGAGGAGTTTCTTATCTTAAACCATATTTTAAAAGAATTTCTAACTTAAAAAGATTTTAAATGGAACCTGCGTATTTAGAAGTGGAAACCGAGTGATTATGTGGCCCATGATATATTGGGTAGCTGCTATTCACATGCTCAAGTGCTATGCGTTCTACGGGGTGAGAGTAGTGGGGAGAGTGCACTGAAAGAAATGTGGGTATGGTTCCGATACTTGAGAATCTCCAGATCCAATTCATGGAACAAAGCATTTACTTTGATGAGTTAAATGACTTTGCAAGTATTAGATAAATGGAAGGGTTGTCACTGAGTAATCATGAAAGATGCATTGAGGACAACCAGTGCCGTCAATCTGGAAGAGCAAGGCTACCATGGTCCATCTTGTCTTTGGAAGACTTCTAAAAGGAAGAGGCCCTTGCTGGACTTTAAAGATTTGTCAAGATTTGGCCGTCTGTAAAGGGAAGAAGTTTCGAGCTTTGAGAAACAGCAAGGATGTTAAGCAGAAGGTGTGATTGCTATGGTAAAGCATTTGTTTAAGAGATCAGAGACTGAAAAGCTAAGTTAGATCCAAGATTAGTTGAAAATACATCCCTGCTTTGTGTCAGTTACTATGCTGACCATTGAGGATTTTAAGAAAAATGACAGTTCTTGTTCTTTTAGTGGCTCACGGTCAAGTAGATAGAGATAAAACACTAAAAGATAATAAGTTAAATTCTTAACTATTCATGAGCTTCATCTACTGTTTTTCCTCAATCACCCATCCCTGTCCAACCTACCCTCAGAATATCCTTCAAATCCATTCCCTCTGCTTCATCCAAACTGTTACTGTCTTACCTCAGACCCTATCTCTCACCTGGAATCTCACAAAACCTACCTGTCTATCATCAGCCTCCTAATATAGCCTTCCTCCCACCCCCCACTCCGGTCCCCCAGTTCCTAAGTGCTAACCAAATTGCCCCCACAGAGTAAATCTGGGCATACTTCTTACTTTTTTTGTTTTTTGAGACGGAATCTCTCTCTGTCCCCCAGGCTGGAGTGCAGAGGCACGATCTCGGCTCACTGCAAGCTCTGCCTCCCGGGTTCATGCCGTTCTCCTGCCTCAGCCTCCCGAGTAGCTGGGACTACAGGCGCCCGCCACCACGCCCGGCTAATTTTTTGTATTTTTAGTAGAGACAGGGTTTCACTGTGTTAGCCAGGATGGCCTCAATCTCCCGACATCGTGATCCGCCTGCTTCGGGCCTCCCAAAGTGCTGGGATTACAGGCGTGAGCCACTGTGCCCGGCCTTCTTACTTCTGTTTACTTGTTTATTCTAGTTCCTTTCAAAAAATATCAATAATTCTTGTTTGACTTCCCTATGTGGGGATCTGGGATACTAGCCGCAGACTGTGGTTAAGGTAGCATTCAAGAGCTAAGGATAAGATTTCTACGTGGGCTCCAGAAAATACAACCAAGACAGAACCCAAAATCTAGAGTGTCCCTTAAAAGCCTCAAATGAAATATCACCCCAGAAGTACTAATTGGAGTTGAATAGAAAGGAAGAAACCAGGGATAATGTAAAAAAATTAGAATAATGATTTACCATGGAGTTGCAATTTGCAACTAGCACTATTCAAAACACCTTCATGCATTACCTCATTTAATTATAGTAAGCCCTGTGAGGTGTTAACAGTTACTGTTACTGTCACCATCATGGCCACTTACAGATTAGATAACTAGGACCTAAAGCTGTCAGATAACTTACCAAAGATAACACAGTAACAGTAGACCTGGAATCCAAACACAGGCGGTTTATTTCTAGAAGTGTGCTCTTAACCACCATGCCACCTTGCCTCTACAAAGTGCCAGTACTTAAAAAAAAGGAGAACAGAATAAAAGGTAAGACTAAGACATGAAGTTGGAGGGACAGCTCTGAGCCACTAGAAGCAAAACCTCAGGGGCTTTCTGAAGGTTGTTCGCAATCTTTTTTTTTTTTTTTTTTTGAGATGGAGTCTTGCTCTGTTGCCCAGGCTGGAGTGTAGTGGCGCGATCTCGGCTCACTGCAACCTCCGCCTCCCAGGTTCAAGCAATTCTCCTACCTCAGCCTCCCGAGTAGCTGGGATTACAGGCACGTGCCACCATGCCTGGCTAATTTTTTTGTATTTTCTAGTAGAGATGGGGTTTCACCGTGCTGGCCAAACTGGTCTCGAACTCCTGACCTCGTGATCCGCCCACCTTAACCTCCCAAAGTGCTGGGATTACAGGTGTGAGCCACCGTGCCCAGCTGGTTGTTAGCAATCTTTTTTTTTTTTTTTTTTGAGACGGAGTCTCACTTTGTTGCCTGGGCTGGAGAGTGGCATGATCTTGGCTCACTGCAACCTCCGCCTCCCAGGTTCAAGCAATTTCTCCTACCTCAGCCTCCCAAGTAGCTGGGATTACACACACATACCACCATGCCTGGCTAAGTTTTTGTATTTTTTTAGTAGAGGTGGGGTTTCACCGTGCTGGCCAGGCTGGTCTTGAACTCCTGACCTCGTGATCTGCCCGCCTTGGCCTCCCAAAGGGCTGGGATTACAGGTGTGAGCCACAGCGCCCGGCTGGTTGTTCGCAGTCTTAACTAAAGAGCTGGGGAGGGAGTGGGTAAAGATTCAGGATAGTGCCTTGTATTTATTTTTTGTCTGTATGTTCCATCTAATATTACGTGTCATTCACTATCTCATTATTTCAACCCAAATCATTGATAAATGCCTTCTAAGAGGGCAACCCTGGTTCATCTTCCACATTACTGACTTACATTTCCATATGTTCAATTCTGCTCTTTACGGCTTCATTGTAGACTTTAATTTTTCCATTTCTGTTTCATTTTTCATTCTCCTTACAATCCTTATTTATGCCACTAGTCTCCCTTTTAATTTCATTTTCTTTGTCTTGACATCTTGGCCTTTCTGCTACAGTTTTATCGATGTCAAGCACATTCTAAAGCATTACTTTATTTCCCATAGTAAATCATTTGGAGACAATTTCTCTTTCTTTAAGCCTTTAAGATATTCCCTTTCCTTCCCTTTCTCTTATTGTGCAGTGTTTTCCACTGACTTAGTGTGGTTGGTGATTTCTTCTCATTTATCCTCAAGTAAGAACAAATCCATCTACACCCAGTGTTTACTAATACCCTAGGTTGACGGATTTCCCATCGCCCAATTCTCAGAGTAGTAGTTTTGAACTATTTTTCAGCTCTACAGCTAGACAAAAGGTTGATATGCACAAATAGCTCCTGGCTGAAAGTCCCCTCCCTGGCTGACTCACATCTTATGTGGCTTTGCTGAATCAAAACTAAAAAAACTTGTCTTTCTCTTCCAGCTGGCTCCCTGATACTCTGAACAAGTGGAGTGTGCAAAACTACAATTCCCAGCTCTTCCTCTCACTGTGTGTCCCTATTCTGCTTTTCCTGTGGTGTCTAGACCTTTCAGAGTCTGGTGAGTCAATACCTAGAGTTTCTCAAATAGAAGGCAGGTGGTTGGAGTTCTGTTGAAGGTCCCATCTATGAATTCCAGGCTCCTGCAGTTTCTACAGGCCCAATAAAGGTAGCGCATGACGAAGCTTCTCCATCTCCACCCATAGCTGTGTAGTTGAAAATAAAAACTTGGTAAAGACAGGTAAAATCCATGCTGAAAACTGGTGGAAAAGGTCTCTAATGGAGACATCAGAGTTGATGAACATTAATCCATTCAACCGGGATTAGTTGAGGGCCTACCGTTCTAGACTGGTGCTAGTAATCAACAGAACAGACATGTTCTTTGTCTTACAGAAGGTATTCTCTAGTTGGACAGACAAACATTAAGCAAATGAACACAAATATATACATTATTATTAAGTGGGGCAAATGCCACAAATAAAATGGGAGAGGTACTATGGGACATAACCAAAGTTAGAGTTCAAGACAGTCTTTCTGACAGTGTGGGAATCTCTCAAGGATCTAGAACCAGAAATACCATTTGACCCAGCAATCCCATTACTGGGTATATACCCAAAGGATTATAAATCATTCTACTCTAAAGACTCATGCACACATATGTTTATTGCAGCACTATTTACAGTAGCAAAGACTTGGAACTAATTCAAATACCCATCAATGATAGATTGGATAAAGAAAATGTGAGACATATACACCATGGAATACTATGCAACCATGAAAAAGAATGAGATCATGCCCTTTGTGGGGACATGGATGAAGCTGGAAGCCATCATTCTCAGCAAACTAACACAGGAACAGAAAATCAAACACCGCATATTCTCACTCATAAGTGGGAGATGAACAATGAGAACACATGGTCACAGGGAGAAGAACAACACACACCGGTGCCTGGCTGGGAGAGTGAGCATTAGGACAAATACTTAATGCATGGAGGGCTTAAAACCTAGATAATGGGTTGATAAGTTCAGCAAAGCACCACGGCACATGTATACCTAGGTAACAAACCTGCACATTCTGCACGTGTATCCTGGAACTTAAAGTAAAATAATTTTTTAAAAGACAGTCTTTCTGAGGAAGGGACATTGAGGCTGAGATATAAAGTAGGAGTAATGGGCCGGGCGCGGTGGCTCACACCTGTAATCTTAGCACTTTGGGAGGCCGAGGCAGGTGGATTGCCTGAGCTCAGGGGTTCGAGACCAGCCTGGCCAACACAGTGAAACCCATCTCTACTAAAATACAAAAAATTAGCCAGGCATGGCAGCATGTGCCTGTAATCCCAGCTACTCAGGAGGCTGAGACAAGAGAATTGCTTGAACCTGGGAGGCGGAGGTTGCAGTGAGCCGAGATCGTGCCATTACACTCCAGCCTGGGCGACAGAGCAAGACTCTGTCTCAAAAAAATAAATAAATAAAGTAGGAGTTATTCAGAGAATTAGTGAGTTTAAAAAGTGTTCCAGGTAGGAGGTATAGCATGTGCAAAGCAATGAGGCAGGAGAACTTGCCATGTCTGAACAACTAAACAAAGTTCAGTATAGCTGGAGCTTAGTGAGTAGGAGGGAGAGTCTTGAAGAGAACAATAGGACATGAACAGCTATTGAGGGTATTTAGGGGAATCAAAAGAGATGAATAAATGGATTGCCAAGTAGCAGTGTGGTCCCACTGAAAACTCAGGCTTGATTTACCTTGAGCTTCCGATTCTCCTGCCTCAGCCTCCTGAGCAACTGGGACTACAGGCGTGCACCACCAAGTCCAACTAATTTTTGTATTTTTAGTAGAGACAGGGTTTCACTAATTCACTTAGCATGAATTAATGCTGATCCGAGTCAGCACAGTTCTGGAACCTTCTCCAACAATATTCTGTCACTCTGTCTTCCAGTTTTGCCTCTGTTAGGACGAGCAGGAAACCCAGCTCAAACTTTTGTCATGCTCTCAACTGCATCTCTCTAATTCTCACTGCAATACAGACTTGACCTCCTCATGTAGCCTAATCTTAAACTCTATTCTGGGAACACCCTGTCTTCAACAGGGAGCTTACCTGAAAACTGTCAGTGATTCTTTGACTCAAAACTGAATTGGTTTATGCTATTCTCTCTCACCCCATCCCCTTCTACCTCCCTCCCAGTGGGAATAGGATGGCATTTTAATAATCATGGATTTGGCTGGGCGTGGTGGCTCATGCCTGTAATCCCAGCACTTTGGGAGACCAAGGTGGGTGGATCACGAGGTCAGGAGTTCGAGACAAGCCTGGCCAAGATGGTGAAACCCCGTCTCTACTAAAAATACAAAAACTAGCCGGGCTTGGTGGCGCATGCCTGTAGTCCCAGCTACTTGGGAGGCTGAGGCAGGAGAATCGCTTGAACCCGGGAGGCGGAAGTTGCAGTGAACCGAGATCATACCACTGCACTCCAGCCTGGGCAACAGAGCGAGACTCCATCTCAAAAATAATAATAATAATCATGGATTTGCTGGGACTACTTCCTATCAGCTGCTTGGCTCCAAGCTTCCATTTTAGAGAGCTCATGGCCCATCCCAGCTTCCCTTTAGAATACAATTTATCATCTTATTTTATAAACCACTGGCTCTTTTTTTTGGTTCAAGCATCCACCTTGACTTCTCATTCTGGAAAGCCCCTAATGTTACATGGATAGCATTTACATATGGCATCTTTAATCCTTCCAACCGAATGTCTGGAGGTGATTCTCAGTGTTAACTTAATCTTCTCCACTTGCACCAAAAATTAATTTCCTATTCTTTAGACCTTGGTAGAAACCAGACGATTTGGTCACCACCCTCCATGTGGAGGCAATATTCAGTTACAAAAAGTAATTAAATCACCCTGTTCAACCTTCCTTTTGCCAGACTGATTTAAATCCCTGAAATCATTTTTTTTCCCTTTAGGTCACATATTTAGGCCCTATGTACTTAAAGGGCTTTCAAGAGTAAGTCTTATTATTTACCAGAGTAAAAGCTTTCCAGAAATAATAACAACCACAAGGACAACAATACCTTACAACTTGATGGCATTTAACTTTTTTTCCCAGTGCTTTTTTTTTTTTTTTTTTTTTTTTTTTGGCAAATACATTATCTTCTTTTACTCACTTAATGACTGTGAATTAGGGAAGGTAGATGTTATTTTCTCTGGGAAAAACAATAAAACTCAGCCTAGGAGTTAACTCCAGTAGAGGAACAGGATCCACTTGGACCCATGTAAGGCTTCGACCTCATCACTATAGCCTCCCTCAGAACCTCAGCTGACGTGCTTCTCTGTGGACTGCCTCCACATTTTATCAAAGGTCACCCAAGGATAATAATAGCCAACCTTTCTTGAGCATTTAATGTATGTCAGACACTGCACCCCCTGAGTCCTTTATATGCATCTTATTTTTCCAGCATCATGATGAAGGAGATGGCTCTATTATTAGACAAGTAAGATGAAGCTCAAGGAGGTTAAAGGACTTCCTCGGGATCATCACAGCTCAAACAGCAGAAGCTTCAGTCCCTGTGTGCTTAGATAGAAGGCTTTACTGCCCCAAGAATCAACTGAATGGACCTCTCCTCTATGTTCATTGTGGAATTCTTGGTGAGGACATTGTCTGTCACCTTCTGGAATGTTCTTATATAATACCTCCTTTCGGAAAATTCTTTCAATAGGTACAACATGCTTTCTTGGAGGAAAAAGTTTGCTGTTGTTAACATTGTGGTTTTTGTTTTGTGTTTTGTTTGGTTTTGTTTGAGACGGAGTCTCGCTCTGTCGCCAGGCTGGAGTGCAGTGGCGGGATCTACCTCCGCCTCCTGGGTTCAAGTGATTCTCCTGCCTCAGCCTCCCGAGTAGCTGGGATTACAGGTGCCCGCCACCATGCCTGGCTAATTTTTTTGTATTTTTAGTAGAGACAGGGTTTCGCCATGTTGAACAGGCTGATCTTGAACTCCTAACCTCAGGTGATCCGCCCGCCTCGGTCTCCCAAAGTGCTGGGATTACAGGCGTGAGCCACCGCGCCCGGCCTGTTTTGTGTTTTTATTACTACTTTCAGTGAATAAAAAGGTGTGTCATAGTGGAAAATAACAAGAGTTAGGAATTCGTTCTGGCTTAGAATGCTTGTTGGGAATCGAAACTTGATGGGTTTAGTTGCTGCTCTGTCACCTGCATGCTTGTGTAACTTTATACAAGTTGCTTTATCTCTTTGAGCCTTGATTAATTTAATTTCTAAAGTGACAAAGTCATAGCAAATTTAAGGATTGCTATAAATGCTGGAGATAATACATGTGAGAATACTACTGTAGTATTAGTGTGTCATTTTTGTGGGGACAAGGGACTACCCAAGGTTGGAATATCCTTCTTTTTTTGTTTGTTTTCCTTTGTGCGTGTGTGTGTGTGTGTGTGTTTGTGTGTGTGTGTGTGTTGTGCTGCTGGAGTGCAGTGGCATGATCACAGCTCACTGCAGTCTCGACCTCTCAGGTTCAAGTGATCCTCCCACCTCTGCCTCCAGAGTACCTGGGACCACAGATGCATGCCACCACACCTAGCTAATTAAAAAAAAAAAAATTGTAGAGACAGGATTTCACCATGTTGCCCAGGCTGGTCTTGAACTCCTGAGCTCAAGTGACCTGCCCACCTTGGCCTCCCAAAGTGTTGGTATTACAAGTGTGAGCCACTGTACCCAGCCAGAATATCCTTCTTACTCAGGATGAAATTCTCATTACTTTGGTCTTAGTGGAAAATAGGGTCCCAATTTCTTTTCTTTTCTTCTTCTTCTTCTTTTTTTTTTTTTTTTTTTAGATGGAGTCTCGATCTGTCACCAGGCTGGAGTTCAGTGGCACAATCTCAGCTCACTGCAACTTCTGCCTTCAGGGTTCAAGCAATTCTCCTGCCTCAGCCTCCCAAGTAGCTGGGACTACAGGCACACACCACCACACCCAGCTAATTTTTGTATTTTTAGTAAAGATGGGGTTTCACCATGTCGGCTAGGCTGGTCTCAAACTCCTAACCTCATGATCCACCCGCCTCGGCCTCCCAAAGTGCTGGGATTACAGGCGTGAGCCACCGCACCCAGCCCAGGGTCCCAATTTCTGATGTGGAAACTGAAGTAGAGTACGCATCACCAGCCAGGGTCTCCTGACTTTGATCAAAACAAACTGATTCTGGATGACTAAGCTGAAGAGAGCTAACTTACATCATTGGGAGGGATGAAGAAAGAAACTCAAGAGCTTAGGAACAATGCCTGAAACCATGCTGGGGAGCTGGCCTGTTGAGAAAGCTGCTGTGCTGCCCCTGAGTACTAGAGTTTGCACCCTTGTTAGGAACTCAATATCTTGCTACAGCTTCGATGCCACTTCTGCATGACAAACTCAACCTTGCATCTAGCAACCCCACAAAATGGGTGCTCCACACAGAGCCTGATTCCTTGTGTAGTTCCCTGCTGATGGGTGAAGCTGAGGTCACATGTCTGGGTCAAAGCTGCAAAGGTACCTGGAGGAGAGATTTTTCAAATTTCTGCTTTGGGAAGTCGGGACCCACTGGGGCAGGGTGGACTACTTAGAGATTACAAGATGTTCAAAGGGTCCTGAGCAGCCAGAACACATGGATAATAGATATGCAAATGTCTATCAGAGGGCAGAGATTCCTCTCTCCACACGCTTGCAAGGAGAGCATGAGCATGTGACCTAGACTGAACCAATCAAATGTCCCTTTTGAGGAAGCAAAACAAACATACAGGGCCATACAGAGTTTGTTCCTGGTGGACAGAGCAGAATCAAAAATCTGTGGCAGCAGCAGTGACTCTCGAGGGATGACAGTACCTACAGTAGCACCCTAACCAGATTCTCTCTGAGAGACATGGCCTTGATCGTGGTTTTTGTGTCTTTGCTTTCTTTAATGCTACATTTGTTTTGAGCTTTAATTTCAATTCCTTCCATATATTCTGTGAGCTATACAATAACCTTCCAATAAAATAATTTTCTGTCTGATGTTTGCAACCAAGAACACTCATTGGTACATAAATTGCCACTAGTGAGTAGGTTACAGACAATGATAGACTATCAGGGGAAAGGGAGTAATCTGTAATCATTTCTAGCCTAATTGGGGTTGTGAGAATCTGGCAGACTAAGGTATATGGTGGTCTGACAGTTAATTAAATCAATGCATCTGATCCCCTCAAAGGCATAGTGAGTGTTTGCTGTCATAGAACAATCTAAAGGATGTTATTGAAATAGTCTGAGATACTTTGTTTAAATAAGAAATCTAACAGAGTGAAAATGTTTATTTAATTTTCTTACATCCATGCATGTAGTATAAACAGAGAAGTACTAATAAAACCCTTCTGGTTTGTCAAAGAAACTTCACAAGTACTTGTAGCCTTTATAAAAATGAGGATATCACTCTACATATTATATTCAGGCATCAAATAATTAAAATAACAGACAATTGCAGCTTTTTTTCTTTAGGTTAAAGGTAACTTTTCCAGACCACTGAAACCATCTCATGTCTGAGAGTTTTACAAGACTCCTTAGTTGGGAAAATGTACTTACACGTATGGCATCCTCACACAAAATCATATCTGCTTTTCTGTAGCTGAAGGGAAAGAGTGAACATTTGTCTCCTTATTTTTCTTGAGTTTTCTTTCATCAGAGGTTAGAAGGTACAGCTTCAAGCTTAGTAATTAAATCACATTGTTAGCTGTGAGGGGGGTAAACAGGTTGAGAAGCTTTAAAACTTAAAATATGGAAAAGACAAAGGCAGAAAGAGAATGGTATGTGTCGTGTTTGTGTTGTGTTTTGTATCTACAAGAGCATGAGGAATTCATGGACTATAGGTGACAACATAAAGAGATGAAATGATATCCTCAAATCTCTAAAATGTTGGCTTAGAACTCAGAAACCAGGAACTCTGAATGACTGTAGTTAAATAATCTCCTATCTATTACAGCTGAAAACCAAAAGCAAAGTTTGATTCTGTTGATTGCCAATGCAATGTCTGTTGAATTCACGGCATCACCAAATGTCTTTTAACTAGGTTATTGTATAAACTAGGTTATTGCTGACAAAATAGCAGGCCCTCAAGAGTTGGAATAGGGATATATGAGAGGATTCAGAGCACTGGACACTCCCAGCCCTCAGTAATTCTCCCACTTAGAATTAAGTGAAGCAGCTGTTCCTCCTCATGTTTGATGAGGCTCTTTTTCTCTTGCTTGAAGGTATTAAAACTCTCTTGCCTAAGGCCATTATCTTTGAAGAAGAAGCTAGTTCTATTTATGTGCTCCATGCCTGTAAATAAACTCATATGCTAGCATGCTCTGAGCTGGGAGTTCGATTAAAAACCGTAGTCTTAGTGAAAAAGGGTCAGTTGCAAGATAATTTTGATCTGGGCACATATTCTTTAGACTCAATCCAGTGTACTAGCTCAAACAACTGCAAGTCGTTCTAATTGATGGCTTGGTTGGTTGACTAAAATGTATACACAAGTGCACACGCACGCACACACACACACACACACACACACACACACACGCAAGACTGGACCCCAAATGATTTTGAAGACACAAATAAATTGCATCCATCCCTTGCTCAGGTTCCGAGTATACTTATGCCTTTTACTCTGCTGCCATTCCACATCTATGACATCATGGGATTTTCCAGTAACAGAAAAGGAAACCTTTGAGTTAGGTGTGCAGTGAGTCTGCCCTGTGTACATAAGCTAAGATCTAGCACTGTGGTGGCCCTCACGGGTGGTCTTGCAGGAGAGTGAAGGAGCACCATCTCACCATAGGCAGTGTTTCAAACAGAACATTTCATAGCTCATTTTCAGTTGTAAAAAGGATAGCTGCATGGGTATTATGTTAGTGGAGAGCAATCTCTTAAAGGCTTTTTTTTTTTTTTAAATATAGGAAGAAGGGTTATGGACCTCAGTGACCATTTATTTATCTGTTAGACTATGCAGCAACTGAATATCATTCTTTTTTCTTTCTGGCTCAGAATTCTTTAAGGATAATGTCTCAGAATGTACAGTATATAAATTCTTTTTAAATATATATTTTATTTTATTTTCTTTAAGTTCTGGGTTACAAGTGCTGAACGTGCGGAGTTGTTACATAGGTACACATGTGCCATGGTGGTTTGCTGCACCTATCAACCCGTCATCTAGGTTTTAAGCTCTGCATGCATTAGGTATTTATCCTAATGCTCTCCCTTCCCTTTCTCCCCACCCGCAAACAGGCCCCAATGTATATGTTTATTGCAGCACTATTTATAATAGCGAAGACATGGAATCAACCCAAATGCCCATCAAAGATAGACTGGATAAAGAAAATGTGGCACATATACACCATGGAGTATTATGCAGCCATAAAAAAGAATGAGTTCATGTCCTTTGTGGGGACATGGATGAAGCTGGAAAATATCATTCTTATTATGGTGAAATTCTCTTTTGGAAGGACCTTGGTGAGATACAACTCCACCTTCAATAAGGAAGCTGAGGAAGGGCAGAAATTCCCTTTCTCTGGCAGCTAAGACATGGTGCACTCAATAGAGGCTGACCAAGTGAAAGCCACAGAGTCCCAGGGAGGCACATGCAGTGGTTCAGATGTGGTCGTGTCCTAAACAGACTAACTATGAGATACGTCCTTCCCTGTGGTCTCAGCTTCCCAGGCCCTGTTATTTCCTGCCAGTTTTCAGTATGGAGTTTACCAGCCTTTCCTTCCCAAAATGTCCTTTTCTGCTCTGCTTAACCAGAAATGGTTTCTGTTGTTTGTAACCCTAAACCCTGTGCATTAGAAGTCTCACTGTATGATGCTTGCCACATAATAGATGACCAATAAATAATGACTGTTGTTTTTCTTATTAACCTTTATGATTTTATTAACTAATCTCCAAAGCCCTCTGTCTCATTCTATCAAGTACAATCATTGTTAGCCTGTATTAGCATGATCCTTCCATCTACTTTATCATTTCAGTTGTCTTTTTGTAGAAGCCTTCATGCTCTTATTTGTCAGTTTGTGATACTAGCAAAATTGGAGGTTTCGGGACTATTCAGAAACAGCTAGTGATCTCACTGATATTTTGGCTACAGATTTTGGCCAGATGGTATAAGCCAATCTACCTTCAGCTATAACATTCAGAAATTCTACTTAAAAATTTAAAAATGATTTTGATTAAGACTTTAAAGAGTAATATATATTTTACATTATATATTTTATTTTCTGTGTGAAGAGTGTGTACTTAGTTAACTCATGAAAGCTAACTCAGAAGAGTTGTGATTGATCTAAAAGTATAAAATATTATTGGTAAATGTGGGAGATAAATAATTATCACTTAAATTGTGGTAAACAAGAACCAGATATGAAAACTTTAGTGGTCATCATGGAAAATACTGTTGAGCCAAGTGCCAAATACAATAATACTTCCCCCTAAAAAAGCTTCAAAAAGCTGCAGTCTGGCCTCATCAGACATGCAGCTGCTGCACAGCACAGTTTCTCTGAGACAAATACATTCTCTCTTGGGCTTTTAAAGGGCAAAGCACAGATTTTAGATTGTGAGTCTTTATTTTTATTTTTTATTTTTATTTTTGGAGAGACGGAGTCTGGCTCTGTCGCCCAGGCTGGAGTGCAATGGTGAACTTCGCTCACTGCAACCTCTGCCTCCCGGGTTCAAGCAATTCTCCTGCCTTAGCCTCCAGCCTCCCGAGTAGCTGGGATTACAGGCATGCACCACCGCGCCCAGCTAATTTTTGTATTTTTAGTAGAGACAGGGTTTCGCCATGTTGGCCAGGCTGGTTTTGAACTCCTGACCTCTGGTGATCCACCCACCTCTGCCTCCTAAAGTGCTGGGATTACAGGCGTGAGCCACCGTGCCTGGCCATGAGTCTTTATTTCTTAATCTCCCTTCTAGCCCTTCCTACATCTCAGGAACGCCTTAACTATTTATCTGGGCTCCTTTTTCATTAACCTCTTCCTACTGTATTTCCCAAGGAATCAATTAGGAAAAAGAAAAGCAGGGCTTTTATTGTTGTGGTTGTTTCATTTGTTTGGGGTTTATTTTTATGAAGATTTTAAACATTTTACTGTCCAGCCTCACTAAATTTGTAGTGTAACAGACGCTTCCAGCCAGTAGGTCACAGGAGGAGTTTGGAGCTTCCATTGTCCACAGAAAGTTTTTGATTAGTTGCCATAAATGTATATCCAGCAGGAAATAGCCCAAGGCAGTGTTTCCAAAACTGTTCCTTTATCAATCTTAGCACAGAAAACCAGGCCTTTGTTAAATATTTTTTAATAAAACACTGTTAGTCGGTGGGGCACGGTGGCTCATGCCTGTAATCCCAGCACTTTGGGAGGCCGAGGCGGGCGGATCACAAAGTCGAGAGATCAAGACCATCCTGGCCAACATGGTGAAACCTCATCTCTACTAAAAATACAAAAATTACCTGGGTGTGGTGGCACATGCCTGCAGTCCCAGCTATTTGGGAAGCTGAGGCAGGAGAATTGCTTGAACCCAGGTGGCAGAGGTTGCAGGGAGCAGAGATCGCCCCACTGTACTCCAGCCTGGCAACAGAGTGAGGCTCCATCTCAAAAAAAAAAAAAAAAACAAAACAAAAAAACCCAAAAAACAAAAAAAACACTCTTAGTCTACTCAATATACTTTTGCACTGAATGAAGGTCCCAGGAGGCCTGATTATTCTCTACTCTTTAAAGCAAAGCAACCTGTCTGCCTACTGCTTACATGCTGGCCAGGCAGTAATTCTGCCATACACACTGTGTCCATTGCCTACTGCCAAGGCCATTTGCCCTCATCCTTGCTGGCAAAGTCTCAAGCTTCAAAATCTACCAAAATTTACCATCTAAATCTATATCTCCCCTGCTGGACACTGGTTTAGAAATGTGACTTAGTTCTGGCCAATGAGATGTGAGAAATATGCTGAAGCTTTGGGATATAGTTTTCACTACTGACAAAAAAAGACAGTGGAAGAGATAGGCTCTTTCCTTCCTTTGGACATTTCAGTGTTTGCATACAATGCGTGGAATGGCAGCAGCCATCTTGTGAGCATAGTTTCACCAAGGACAAAGCTGATAAAGCTAGCGCCATGGTACAGTTGAAAATTAGAAGAGGCTAGGTGCAGTGGCTCAAGCCTGTAATCCCAGCACTTTGGGAGGCCGAAGTGGGTAGATCACGAGGTCAGGAGTTCGAGACCAGCCTGGCCAACATGGTGAAACCCCGTCTCTACTAAAAATACAAAAATTAGCCGGGCATGGTGGTGCATGCCTGTAATCCCAGCTACTCAGGAGACTGAGGCAGAAGAATCGCTTCAACCCAGGAGGCGGAGGTTGCCATGATACGAGATCCCACCACTGCACCCCAGCCTGGGCAACAGAATGAGATTCTGTCTCAAAAAAACAAAACAAAACAACAACAACAAAAAACAAACAAACAAAAAAAGAAAATTAGAAGAAATATGGGTCCTTGATGATGTCACTGGATATTGAATTAATCAACTCTGAAGCCACTCTTCTTCAGGATGCTCGTAATTTGAAATTTTAAAATTTCCTTAACTGTTTAGATTGAGTGGGTCCATGTTTTCTGTTACTTGTAGCTGAATGCATTCTCATACATGTATCTCAAGAGTCATTCACCTAGGTACTCCAATCCCCCAATAATTGTAATGATCAATTTTATGGTTTTCAAACCCTACTATGTATAAAAGTGTTTATTTTTGGTAGTTCTCTGTGGTCACCTGCCTCATGCTCAAGAATTACCAGCTGATAAAATGGAACACCCATCATCAAAGTCCTAACTGGAGATGCAGAGGAATTAAGTCCTAGAAATAAAAACAACAACAAACACTTATATATGTTTACTATGTTCCAGGTACTATTATTCTAGGTGCTTTGTATCATGTGTTTTGAGAAGTTTTCCCTGTTAAGAGATAAACAGAGAAGTAGCTTGAGGGTCAGGGAAGGTTTTTAGCAATAGTACTCATAGGATTTTCCTGGCACCAGCCCAACACCCACAAAATTTAAGAGTATGTCTGTCAGCCAGGCGTGGTGGCTCACTCCTGTAATCCCAGCACTTTGGGAGGCCGAGGCAGGCAGATCACCTGAGGTCAGGAGTTCGAGACCAGCTTGGCCAAAATGACAAAACCCTGTCTCTACTAAAAATACAAAAAAATTAGCCAGGCGTGGTAGCATGCACCTGTAGTCCCAGCTGCTCGGGAGGCTGAGGCAAGAGGATCACTTGAACCGGGAGGTGGAAGTTGCAGTGAGCCGAGATCATGCCATTGTGCTCCAGCCTGGGTGACAAGAGCCAGACTCAGTCTTAAAAAAAAAAAAAAAAAAAAAAGAGAGTATGTCAGTCTTCAGCCCTTGGATCATCTACTCCAAGCAAAACTGTGTTCTAAAAGCCAAGCCCTTAGTCCAAACTCATGTTATAGTTGCCAAAAGACACAAAAGAGAATCAGTGGTGTCTGATGGCTGAAGCGTAGGCATAGAAGAGAAAAATCTTCCTTGGTTAAGCCTTATTAAAATGACAATCATTCTGCACCAGTGGAATAGAATCCAAATCATTCTGAATTTAAAGTTCATTGAGAGAAATTGCCCATCAAGTGCTTAATTTTGGCACTATCCATTTACTATATCTGGGGAGGGGACTTGATCTATGTACCTATTTACCACTTAGGCAGCAAATCAGGTCTCTGCTGTAAGAGTGGGCAGTTCACATATGTTTGCCTTCTTGAGAAGTTTAGAAACACTTGTTGGTCCTTGCTATCTCTAGTTCTCCTGCCAGTTACTCTTCCACCCACTCCAGTAAAGTTTCTGGTGTTGTTACTTCCAGGAAAATGACTCTCGCTAAGGTTGCCACTGACCTCCACCTGTCTAGACTCAGTTCTTATTTTTGACTTCTTCAGTAGGAAGGGTGTTTTCGTTACTTAAGTATACTTGCTTCCCAGCCTAGCGTCTGACATATACTAGGTACTCAATAAATATTTAAGAATGAATGAATGAGAGCATGCTCTAGGTCACACGATGTGTTGGGGGCAGAATCCAGTCTATAATTTCAGAGTCCAGAATTCTTGCTATTAAAGCATAGTTTGACAGAGCTTTATACAGTAAGGCTGAGGTGTATAATTTTTACATTTTTGAAATAATGGAACCAAAAGAATGGTTTTGCTTCCTTGCTTTGATCAACAACGAAATCCGGCAGTACATTAAGTCTAGGAGTCACCTCCCCTTTTCAAATGTTTTCCTCAACAAATTTCACTGCCCAGCAAGCAGGTGCATGATGGAACATTTTCAGAAAATTCATCACACAGACTTCAGTTTTGTTTTAGTTTCCATGCCCTCCCTCAGCTCTCCCAGTAATGCTCTGAAAGAACAATTAAGCCCTGCATTTTTGACGAGGGGGGCAGGAAAAAAATCTGCTTTTAAAAGCTCTGTTATCTATCATGTAAACTGCCAGCGAATTATTACAGTGTACCAAATAGCCAAAAGTGGTGAGTATTCTTTGTAGAGATAGTGTCAACATCCAAGAGCTGGGCCAAGAGAAACCAGCTGGGAAATCCTGCTGCTTAAACCAAAGACAAGCTATGAAGTCCACATAACTTCCCAATTTACCACTTACGCAGCAAATCGAGATTTTAGTTTTGGGTTTTTTTTTTTTTTTTTGGCATAAAACCTTATGAATTCCAGATAGAAGTAAAGGCAGTTGATTTCATAGCTTCTTTTGAAAGGAATGGCCTCATGTCATTGCCAGTCTTTATGGGAAAGACAAGTGTTAGCTTATTCTAGAGAATAACTGTGCTTGGCTAATAATCCTCTCTCTCTCTCTGTCTCTCTCTCTTTAAATGGAGACCCTATGGAAGTGGCATTTACTCATTGCATCTAGACGCAGAGTAGCTGGAGAGGGTTTCTGAATGTCAGTCAAAGTCATTGCTTGGAAAGAAGGTCTGAATATTAGGCCTTCAAGATGGACCAAGGCTGTTAGCTAGAAAATGGATAATGGGATTGGAAGTCTGAGGAATTGGGACCAGGTGAGAATGTAATTTGCTGAGTGGTCCTGGGAAAGAGGGTCAGACCAGGTGACACTGGGTATTTGAAGTCCAGGTTTATGAATCAGAGAGACAGGCTCTTGCAGGGCTGAACACCAATGGCCTTTTGCACCTAGAAATGTTCTTCTTCACATCTTAGGACATTGATAAGGTGCTTTCATGCAGCCAACACAGCCTTGTCTGCTAACCTTTGTAGGTTTCGCTTCACCACAAAACTAACAGCAGAAGACAATTTGGTGCCTGCTTCGTTATCACCAGTTATGTGTCTTGGTTGCGTTTAGAATAAAACAAAAATTTGTCTGATATGTGCAACACCTTGCTTTGGGGGGCTATTTTCTCTCTGAAGGGCAAATATACCCTCAAACACATTTCTGCCAATTCTTCCAATCTCCTGTATTCTATAAACACTATGCTAGCTAGTTGTTAGCCAAACATGGATATCGCAAAGGTTGAAATTTAGGGTAACAAAGTAGGACATTTCAAAATCAGGCATCTACCGAATTAATAACCTATTTTTAGTGATGAATTTTTATGGTGACCTCTCTAAGCTCATGTTATATTTTTTATTTTAAAGCAGAGGCTTTGGGGAAAGTGGAACGTTCACATTTAGTACAGCCCATGGCCTTGAACTTCCCAATAAACAGGGAGAACACAGGACTCTCCATGACGATAAACCAAGAATTTAGGAGGAACTTAAGATTGTTACGTGGGGGCTGGGTGTGGTGGCTCACACCTGTAATCCCAGCATTTTGGGATGCTGAGGCGGGCAGATCATGAGATCAGGAGTTCGAGACCATCCTGACCAACATGGTGAAACACCGTCTCTATTAAAAATTCAAAAATTAGCCAGGTATGGTGGCGCACGCCTATAATCCCAGCTACTCGGGAGGCTGACAGGCAGGGGAGTTGCTTAAACCCAGGAGGTGGAGGTTGCAGTGAGCAGTGAGCCGAGATCGTGCCACTGCGCTCCAGCCTGGGCAACAGAACAAGACTTCGTCTCAAAAAAACAAAAAGATTGCTATGTGGGGCCATTGCTAGATGTGTCTGGTTACTTAGTAAAACCAGGGAAGGTGAGAGAGAGAGAAGAGAGGGCTAAAATCATCCCATTTGTGGGGAATGGAACCTCTCACAGTAGCAAAGGAAGGATACATTCTAATATCCAATTATTCCAGTCTCCAGTGACCACCCCAGTGTTCAGGTTTCCCAACAAATGGGTGGAGAACATCTTCTGGAATTTCATACACAGAGACGTCTAGATATACAAGTAGGTTACTGCTTCCACAAAGGTCCATCGGCAGGTAGTCAGCTCCAGGCACAAGCTGGTGCTCAAGAGTAGAGCTTTGATTCCTTAAGGTCAGGGATTGTGTTACATTAATCCTGCAATCCCCAGGGAATGTTAGTTTTGTTTTCTTTTGTTTTATTTTGTTTCGAGACGGAGTCTCGCTCTGTCACCCAGGCTGGAGTGCAGTGGCGCAATCTCGGCTCACTGCAAGCTCCGCCTCCTGGGTTCACGCCATTCTTCTGCCTCAGCCTCCCGAGTAGCTGGGACTACAGGTGCCCGCCACCACGCCCAGCTAATTTTTTGTATTTTTTTGTATTTTTAGTAGAGACAGGGTTTCACCGTGTTAGCCAGGATGGTCTGGATCTCCTGACCTCGTGATCCGCCTGCCTCGGCCTCCCAAAGTGTTGAGATTACAGGCGTGAGCCACTGTACCCGGCTCCCCAGGGAATGTTAATAAGTGACCCAATGAATGAATGGCAGGAAATGATGCAGAGCAGGCCATGCCCCCATCATGGGTCTGGAAGGAGACACCAGGCTGATTATTGTAACAGAAGCCAGTTACAAGGGACAAAGGGTGGCCTTAGGGGACAAAGAGTGTCATTAGCTTCTCTATATTGGGTCACTCAGAGGGGACTAAAGCTCCTGAATAGGGCTGGAGCCCAGCTTTCCAACTGGGGCAACCCATCAGATTCAGATAAGCAGAGAAAGGGCTTGATACCTAGTCCCAGACTAGCGCTCCAGAGTGCTCCTGCGAACTGGGCTATAGGTGAGTATCAAGAGGCTGCAACTACAGGGAAAAGGACAGGGTCCCTAAGACTAGAGAAACCTCACCTGGGAGGAGGAGGAAGCATTGGGTTGGTGCTGGGATTTTTCTGTCTCATATCTTTTTTTTTTTTTTTTTTTTTTTTTGCAGTTGCAAGATTTAATAGAGTGAAATAGAGTGAAAACAGAGCTCCCAAACAAGGAGGGGACCCAAAGGGGGTTGCCGTTGCTGACTCGAATGCCTGGGTTTATATCTCGATCCTTGTCCCTCCTGCTGTGCTCTCAGGCAATAGATGATTGGCTATTTCTTTACCTCCTGTTTTTGCCTAATTAGCATTTTAGTGAGCTCTCTGATTGGTTAGGTGTGAGCTAAGTTGCAAGCCCCGTGTTTAAAGGCGGATGCGGTCACCTTTCCAGCTAGACTTAGGGATTCTTAGTTGACCTAGGAAATCCAGCTACTCCTGTCTCTCAGTCCCTGCTCTCAATAGGAAAACCCAAGTGCTGTTGGGGAGGGTGGCCGACGACTGCTCTTAACTGCTTCCTGCTGAATTGGGGCATAGTAGGGGTTGTGCGGTTAAGGCACCCCTCCCAAGGAAATCTTTTTTTTTTTTTTTAATCCCCTCTGTTTCTCCTTCTTCAGTCAAAAATTCCAATGGCTAAGGCTGCTCTTAGCTAGATTTTAAATCTGTTTAAATCTGTCCAAAGACCCACAGGCTTAAGTCCTCCAGGGGCTGTATACCAGGCTGATATTCAGATATACACCAAAACAGGCATACTGATGGTTAAAATACTGAAACATTCTGTGCTGGTGGGTAAACAGCTGTGATGCTGAGACCCCTGAGTGCTACTGCTCCTATTCTGACCACCCAGCTTCTCCCCTGGAGAATTGGACCTTTCCATTATCCAGCAACTAAAGGGGTAATTTCTGGCACAGGAGGTGCTGAACCTATTCTGGGGGGTAGAAGAGGCTCTGCCATGCAGATCATTAAAGGTTTTGAGTATCAATCACACTTGGATTCATCCCCAAGGCTAAATGAACCACAGGATCACCAGTGGATGGGGGGTGTCTGAGAGATATCTTTAAGTAAGTAGTCTTATGGGGGTGATATGGTTTGGATTTGTATTCCTGCCCAAGTCTCATGTCGAATTATAATCCCCAATGTTGGAAGAGGGGAATGGTGGGAGGTGACTGGACATGGGGGTGGACTTCCCCCTTGCTATTCTCGTGATAGTGAGTTCTCATGAGATCTGGTTGTTTAGAAGTCTGTAGCACCTCCCCTTTCTCTCTCTCCTGCTCCCACCATGTAAGATGTACCTTCTTCCCCTTTGCATTCTGCCAAGATTGAAAGTTTCTTCTTCTTTTTTTTTTTTTTTTTTTGGAGACAGAGTCTTGCTCTGTCGCCAGGCTGGAGTGCAGTGGCACGGTCTTGGCTCACTGCAACCTCCGAATCGGGTGTTCGAATGATTCTCCTGCCTCAGACTCCAGAGTAGCTGGGACTACAGGGGTATGCCACCACGCCCAGCTAATTTTTGTATTTTTAGTAGAGATGGAGTTTCACCATGTTGGGGTCAGGATGGTCTCGAACTCTTGACCTTGTGATCCACTCACCTGGGCCTCCCAAAGTGCTGGGATTACAGGTGTGAGCCACTTCGCCTGGTGGAAAGTTGATTGAATCCTCCCCAGCCATGCTACCTGTACAGCCTGCAGAACCATGAGCCAATTAAACCTCTTTTTAAAATACATTATCCAATTTCCGGTATTTCTTTATAGCAATTTAGGAAAAGACTAATTTATAGGGGTGTTTGGTAAATAGAGGCCAGCTAATTTTTACTCTCCTTAACACTGAATCCAGGTGTATTAGTCAGGGTTCTCTAGGGGGACAGAATTAATAGGATAGATGTGTAGGTAAAGTGGAGTTTATTAAGGAGTATTGACTCACATGATCACAAGTTGAGGTCCCACAATAAGCTATCTGCAAGCTGAGGAGCAAGGAAGCCAGTCCGAGTCCCAAAGCTGAAGAGCTTGGAGTCTGATGTTGGAGGGCAGGAAGCATCCAGCACAGGAGAAAGATGAAATCTGGAAGACTAAACCAGTCTAGTCTTTCCACATTCTTCTGCCTGCTTTTATTCTAGCCGTGTTGGCAGCTGATTAGATTATGCCCACCCAGATTGAAAGTGGGTCTGCCTTTTCCAGCCCACTGACTGAAATGTTAATCTCCTTTGGCAACCCCCTCACAGACACACCCAGGATCAATACTTTGCATTCTTCAATCCAGTCAAGTTGACATTCAGTATTAACCATCGCACCAGGCCAGTCCAACAAAGAGCAAATCCATGGACTCAGCCTTGTCCAAACAGCTTCATGTACTGACCACTGCTTGTCTTTCTTTTCTTAGAGCTGCTTGACACCCAGGAGCTCAAAGAAGTACGGATTTATGTCTTGGGCCAGAGTGTGTTGGAACAGGGACTAAATTTTGGAAGGCTGAGAGTTTCTTTCTTTTCTTTCCTTTTTATTTTATTTTATTTTTTGAGACTGAGTCTCGCTATGTCGCCTAGACTGGAATGCAGTGGCATGATCTCAGCTCACTGCATCCTCGACCTCCTAGGCTCAAGCGATCCTCCTGCCTCAGTCTCTCAAGTAGCTGGGACTATGGGTATGCATCACACTCTGCCAATTTTAAAACTTTTTGTGGAGACAGAGTCTCACTCTGTTGCCCAGGCCAGAATGCAGTGGCGTGATTACAGCTCACTGCAGCCTCGAACTTTTGGGCTTAAGCGATCCTCCTACCTCAGCCTCCCAAGTATCTGGGACTATGCACCACACCCTGCCAAGTTTTAAATTTTCTTATAGAGACAGGGTCTCACTATGTTGCCCAGGCTGGTCTCTAAATGGTTTCTTGTATGAAGTCACAAACAAAACCCATGGTGAGAGCTATATTTTTTTTGTTTGTTTGTTTACCCTTTCTCTGGTTCTAGCTCACCTTTCACAGAGTATCCTTCTCACCCGCCCTTGCAGTTGCATAACCCTATCGGGGTCAATCAGATTTTCTCTCAAAGGAAATGGAAGATGCTAAAATTGGTCTGATTGGGACCCCTAGGAAGTACTATGTTCCTGTGTCTGACATGCTCAGAGTGGCCCCGGTTCCCATCTGACTGTTCAGCTCTATGACTTGCTAAGTGATCTCATTGTCCTTCTAGTAAGGCTTCTTTCTTTACTTCTGTTGCTCACATCCTAAGAATTCTGAATGGTACACCTGGATAATAAGAAAACAAATTCTCAGGGGAAAAAAAATGTAAGTGTACGATCATTAAAAACCACGTACACAATTATTTTACTTTACTCCTGCGTGGACAAACTTGGAAACCAGTCAATAGTTTCATCTGTTGGATTTGAACTTCCGAGCTTCAGAAATAAGTATTCCTGGAAATAAGTATTGGAAATAAGTATGGAAATAAGTGTTTCTGCATCTAAAATACTGTCAGCTGAACATTTTCTAAATACAGTTACGCTTAAAATTGGCTTTTGGCTCCTATGCTGTGTGGCTATTGTCTCTGTCACTTGGCAGAACCATAGGAAAAGAACAAAAAGGGGGTATTATTGAAAGGCTGATTGTTGATAGACTTGAGCCACAATGAGCCAACCCATGTCTGACATTCTTTCAGGGAAGTCTAGTTATTTAGTAATTCATTTCCTGCAGGAACAATTTACTTCACGCTTTTCTCTCATCCTCAGAAGACTTTGGAGGTGACAAGCACCTTCCGAGCTAACTCTAGGGGCTCGGATCAGGAAAAAATATCTTGGAAACAGCAGTGGGAGAGATTAGCAAGGGTGAATAACTCAAGTTTACAAAACAGTAAATGGAGAAACCAGCGATTTTGGATGCTGATCATTTATTTTGACAGGTGTAGTTTATCTCTGCTCATTTATAATAATTATACATTGTGGAGACTCATTATCCTGCCCTCCTCCTGTCTCAGTGCTGAGAGCAGTTAAAAGTAAATTTGGCAAGTCTGTAGGGGGAGTGAGATAATGGGTGTTAATGACCAAACGGGATATCTATACTTGAGCCACTTGCTGTGAGGGTGGCATACTGATCATTGAAGATGTGCAGTCAGGCTTTCAAATAACATTTCTAACTCTTGGGATTTTTTTCTTCCTTCAGTGTTTCGTTGGAATTGAACATATTCATAGAGGCACTCTCCCATTTCTTGTTACCCTCCCTTCTCTTAAGAACACTAATCTTGACTGGGCTCGGTGGCTCCTGCCTGTAATCCCAGCACATTGGGAAGCCGAGGCAGGTGGATCACGAAGTCAGGAGTTCGAAACCAGCTTGACTAACATGATGAAACGCCGTCTCTACTAAAAATACAAAAATTAGCACGTGCCTGTAATCCCAGCTACTTAGGAGGCTGAGGCAGGAGAATCACTTGAACGCTGGAGGAAGAGGTTGCAGTGAGCCGAGATCACGCCATTGCTCTCCAGCCTGGGTGACAGAGTGAGACTCTGTCTCAAAAAAAAAAAAAAAAAAAAGAACACTGATTTTTCAGATTCTAAGTTCAGAGAAAATACTGGTTAGATGTTTTGAAAGATCCTGGTATGGTTACTATTTTGACCAAATAATTTGGGCAGACAGCAAAATTGATGGGTTAATCACATGGATGTTGGAGCCAGAGAGGTTATAAGCTTTGCTACTTACTAAATGTGTTTCCTACAACTCGGTTTTGCTATCAGTTTCATGGGGATAATAATGGTACCTCCGTCAAAGGTGTGTTCTTCCAACTTGAGTAGAAATACCTAGAACCACATGCTGGCATGTATTAAGTACTATGTAAGCATTTATTATTGTTGTTATTAGTAAAAGGGAGGTGACTGTACCTTATGAGCAATGCAATGAGTATTAAATAATATAATTCATATAGTGCTTTCAAAAAAGATTAGTTAGGCTTAGTAGCTATTCTGATTTTGTGGTTTTAAAGTTCTGAGCTCAGAATTGCCTGAGAAGTGAAACTTCACATTATTACATGCAGCATTTTATACAATTTACTTCAAAAACATATATATATGTGTATATATATATATATTTTTTCTTTGAGATGGAGTCTCACTCTGTCACCCAGGCTGTAGTGCAGTCGTGCAATCTTGGCTCACTGCAGCCTCCACCTCCTGGGTTCAAGCAATTCTCCTTCCTCAGCCTCCTGAATAGCTGGGATTACACGCACCTGCCATCACACCTGGCTAACTTTTTTTTTTTTATGTATTTTCAGTAGCGATGGGGTTTCACCATGTTGGCCAGGCTGGTCTGGAACTCCTGACCTCAGGTGATCCGCCTACCTCAGCCTCGAAAGTGCTGGGATTACAGGCCTCAGCCACCTCACCAGGCCACCCAAAAATATTCTGAGTGTTCACTCTTGGCCAAGTCCTGGACACACAAAGATAAATAAGGTTATGATTCTAACCCTCTGAATAGGAATGAAAACACAAAAGCAAATATATTACTAGGGCTAGAAGAGACCTTGAGAGACCCTCTACCCCAGGCAGAATTGACGTTAAAACAACATACATTGTCTTTTGGAAGACTTGCTGAAAAGGCTGTTCTCAATGACTCCTTAGAAAGAAATCCCTGGGTCTCTTTCCCCACTTTTAACCTGAATGTCTCCTCCCATAAATGAATCCACGTCCTCCCATGTTATACAGATGAAAAGTACTCTGTTGCCTCTTCAACATATGCTCTGATTCTGCTTTCAAATTGATTGACTCAGGACTGCCATTTGCCCATCTAATGTCTTTGTTCAAATTAGTAAAGGATGTTTCTTGAAGTTGGTAAAGTGTGCCCTGGTGAAGAATAACTTGCACAATTGTAGGGGAAAGTGCCATGATTCTTGACTTTCTAACTTTTTGACATCTCAACTCTGGGTAACTCTGCAAACTGAGATATCCTTTGAAATCTCAGTACTTAAGAAACTCTGCATTAGGGAAGCTTTTTAAAAAGGCAAATTTTGCCATTTTTTTAAAGAGGGAAAGCAAGAAGTGAGTTATATAGAGAAAGGTTTTGGATGTCAGGTGCGTTGGCTCATGCCTGTAATCCCAGCAGTTTGGGAGACTGAGGCGGGCAGATCACCTGAGGTCAGGAGTTCAAGACCAGCCTGGCTAACATGGTGAAACCCCATCTCTACTAAAAATACAAAAATTAGCCAGGTGTGGTGGTGCATGCCTGTAATCCCAGTTATTCATGAGGCTGAGGCAGGAGAATTGCTTGAACCCGGGAGGCAGAGGTTGCGGTAAGCCAAGATCACACCATTGCACTGCAGCCTGGGCGACAGAATGAGACTCCATCTCCAAAAAAAAAGAAAAAAAAAAGGTTTTGGTTATACAGAGAAAGTGATGTAGAGAGGCTTGATATTAGAACTGTTGTCTGTCACTTCTATGACTTCTGGCCTTATCTACCTATTAGAGGCTGGGATGACTTCACCATGATTCTCAAATTGCAGTGACTCGGAAGCTCTCCATCCCATATCTCCTCTCCTGCTTCAGCTCTCCTCATTTGCCTCTACTGCTTTGGCATCTGCTTAAAGGATCCCTACCTGTAGCTGTCATTGCTGTGATGTCATGAGGATGCCTAGATCCATGCAACTGTGGAGTGACTCAATTCTTTCCAAATTGCCAGTTCTTGGGTGCAGGGTTCTATGCAGAGGTGGGGAGAGACACCCCATGATGTAACCTACCACACTCTTTAAAGAGACCCCCAGAAGTCTTTGAACTCCTGGTAAGACCATCTGCCTCCCCACAACAAACTACTCACTAGGGCAATCCCTAAAGGGAGTCCATAGTGAAAATTGCAAACTCACCTTCCCGTACAAGACCACTAGCACTGATCCCATGATGCCTTCCATCCCTGTTACCTCAGTCACCATCACACTCCTAGGCCTCTCTGGCCATCCCTGGCCCCCTGGGCACATCTCTAGACCACCCCACACATTCACTAATTTGACCCAATTTCATACCCATTTACCTTGTCCTCTGATGCACACTCACAAATTCTAAAGCTGTAATCCCTTCTCTCTGCATCCCCTTCCCCTCATTACCCTAATGCCTCTGAGAGCACTGCCTCCTTGGCAGCCCTTTCAAGAGCTGGTTGAATGGTGAAACCCCATCTCTACTAAAAATCCAAAAATTAGCTGGGCATGGTGGCGCATGCCTGTAGTCCCAGCTACTCAGGAGGCTGAGGCTGGAGAATCACTTGAACCTGGGAGTGGAGGTTGCAGTGACATGAGATCACGCCACTGCACTTCAGCCTGGGCGACAGAGAGAGACTCTGTCTCAAAAAAAAAAAAAAAAAAAGAGCTCGTTGATATTCTGTATCTGCACAAGGGTCACCAGGAGGCTAGGAGGTGAGATACGTGTCCTCAGTGATTGTCACCGTCTCTTCTACCTACTGTCCCTCCATTCTGAAGCTACAGCTGTGAATGAAAGCACAGAAAGTCCTTGACTTCATGGTGGGGCATGGTGACAAATAACAAATGCCCATGTAACATGTTGGCTGGTGATAAATAGCACAGACAATAAAGCAGGGTGGGCAGGGGATGGACAGCAGTGAGAACTGTAAGAGAAAGCTAGTTGATAGGGAGTAAGCTGTGCAGATATCAGAGGGGAAGGATGTGTAAATACAAGACTTCAAGAGCAACATTTAGGTAAGTGATTTGCCCAGCACCCAGGCCTCTGTCCTCCATTTCATACCCTTCTCACCTCGTAGGATCTCATTCCACCCCCAAATGTCAAGGATCTTTTCACATGGTTAAATCATAGACCTTGTCATTAGCCATAGCTCGGCTATCTTCAAATTCTTCATTTAAACATCTCATTTGCTTTGATAACCACTTCCTGTTTTTCCAGCTCATTTACTTGACTACCATTCTATCCCCACAAACACACACCTCCAACCTCACCAGGGCCTCCGTCAACCCTAACAGTGTTTTACTATCTGTCACTCCCTCCTTTACTCGGTGTAGATAACATTGTCCATCCCTGCAATCAATCCCTGGTGTATACCCTGTGATACTGTTTGGATATTTGTCCCATCCAAATCTCCTGTTGAAATATAGTCCCAAGTGTTGGAGGTGGGACCTGGTGGGAGGTTTTTGGGTGATGGGGGCAGATCCCTCATAGCTTGGTGCTGTCCTCAGATAGTGAGTGAATTCTCTCAAGATTTGGTTGTTTAAAAGTGGGTGACACCCCCACCCCATCCATCTTGCTTCCGCTCTTGCCATGTGACTTGCCTGCTCCTGTTCCACCTTCCACCGTGGGTAAAAGCTCCCTGGGGCCTTCCCAGAAGCCCAGTGGATGCCAGCACCATGCTTGTACAGCCTGCAGAACCATGAGTCAATTAAACCTCTTTTCTTTATAAATTCCCCAGCCTCGGGTATTTCTTTAGAGCAATGCAATAACGGCAGTGTACTACACCCTGCTTTCCTTCTCCCACCCTTCACCTCCATCAAACGAGCATGCTAGACCCCATATACTCTGCTGTCCTCCTCTGCTTCTATGCCTAAGTAGCAGAACACGGAGGTAGAAAAATGCATATGGGGACTGAGCTGGTGGATCACAATTCAAATTATGATAATGACTCCTAGGTGGACTTTAGCATTGTCTGGCAGTCCTAGATTTTCCTAATCCACTCATTCTCTAACCCTTAAGACTGCTATTTAATAACTTCTCTCTTCTCAACTTCCATCCCTGCTCTAGCCTCTTCACTCCAGCTGATGACCTCATGTCTTTATGGTGCCGTGATGATGGAATCAAGCAGAAGAGAACTGCCTCATCTTGACACTTTCTAATCTACTCACCAATCTTCATCGCTTCCCCCATACCCTGCTTCCCCTGCTGTGACAGTGGGCAAATTGGTCCAGCTCCTGAATCAGGCCAGTCCTGGCTGTGGCACATTAGACCTTATCCTGCCCCCACGATTTGCTGACTTTGCTGCTCCTTCAATTATCCCATCTATTTCTTGCATCATCAACTTCTCCCTTTCTACTGACTCATTCCCACCATATGTATACATGTAAGAAATATCTATGATATTTACACAAAATTAAACTATCCTTAGATTTTGTTTCTCATTCCTGGCCTGAGCAATTTCTTTGCTCTCCCTTAAAATGAAACTTGTAAAAAATTTGTCTATACTTGCTGACTGCAATCCACTCAACCAAGCCACTCCAAATCTCTCTCTTCTTTAATTTATTCTATTTAGCACTCCTACAACACTGTCTGCACTGAAATTGCTCTTTTCAAGGTTCCTGTGTCTTCCAGCCAAATTCCATGGCCGCTTTTGTGATCTTTATCTCACTTGGCCTCTCAGGAACATTGGGCACTCTCTTCTTCTTGACACTTTTTCTTCACTTGGCTTTTGTGCCACCCTAACTCTTTTAATTTTCCTCTTCTTCCACTGGCTGCTCCATCTCAACCTCCTTAGCTGGTCTTCCTCTTCTTCCTGACTCTTTATGCATTGGTATTTCCTAGTGCACAGTTTTATTTACTTTCATTTCCTCTGTGAACTCACTTAGCCCCATGGGATCACATTTATGACTCTCCAATTTTTTATACTCTCATTTCCTCTCTGAGCTCCAGAATTGTATACTCAGCCATCTATTTTGGATTGCTATCTTTTCTTTTGGGGGGGGTTGGGGGGTGGGGACAGAGTCTCACACTGTTGCCTGGGCTGGAGTGCAATGGCATGATCTTGGCTCACTGCAACCTCCGCCTGCCGGGTTCAAGTGATTCTCCTGCCTCAGTCTCCTGAGTGGCTGGGATTACAGGCGTGTGCCAGCACTCCTGGCTAATTTTTTGTATTTTTTGGTAGAGTCGGGGTTTCACTATGTTGGCCAGGCTGGTCGCGAACTCCTGACCTCATGATCTGCCCTCCTTGGCCTCCCAAAGTGCTGGGATTACAGGCATGAGCCACCCAGCCTGGCCTATTTGGATTCACCCAAATAGGTGAATGTCTAAATTTCAAAAGCACACATCTTGGTTCTTTATTCAATCCTCTTCTCCTCCTCAGTAAGTGGCACCATCATATATCCAGTTGTTCAGGCTCAAACCCAAGGAGTTCTTGCATTCTCACTTTTCCTTAACCCAGGTCCAATGTAACAGCAACAGCATAAGCCTATTGTCTCAGCTTTCAAAATTGATCCCATATAGATCACCTTTGATGACTTCATCTGTTACTTTTCTAATTATAGCACCCACCATGCTATAATCCCTGTGGCATAATAAAATAATCTCTTGGTTAATTTTCTCATCCGCTTTTGCCACCCACATTCAATTCTCCACATAATAGGTGGAATGTTCTTTTAAAACCATTAATCAGTTCATGGAGCTCTGTTGCTTAAAACCTATTCATGACTTCCCATGACACTCAAGATAAAATCCCCAACTCCGTCTCATGGCCCCCAAGGGCTTGTATAATCAGCCCCTGGTTATGTCTTCAAAGCCATCTTCTATCATTTGATGTCTGGAATGCTCTTTCCTTCATGCTTTTGCATAGCTTGCTCTCTCACTTTATTTCGGTCTCTACTCAAATGTCTTCTCTTCAGAGAGACCTTCCTTGCCCACGCTGTTTGAAACAGTGCATCTCATTACTCTTACTCCCTTTAACTTGTTTGTTTTCCTTGTTGCATTTATTCTATGACTTTTTAAAATGTATCTGTGTTTAAAGATTTGGTGTAATTCATATATTAACAGACTAAATTTAGAAAGCCATATGCTATAGTTTGAATAATGATGTCCCCTCCAAAATTCATGTTGAGACTTAATTCCCAATGCAGCAGTATTAGGAGGTGTGGCCTTTGAGAGGCTCTACCCTCATGAATGGGATTAGCACCCTTATAAAAGGGCTCAAGGTTGAAGAGAGAGAGTTCTCTTGCCCTTCTGTCCCTTCCATCATGGGAGGACACAGTTCCTCCTCTCCAGAGGATGTAGCAATATGGCACCGTCTTAGCAGCAGAGAGCAGCCCTCACCAGACACCAATCCTGCTGGTGTCTTTCTTTTTTAATTTTTAATTTTTGTGGGTACATAATAGGTATATATATTTATGCAATACATGAGATCTTTTAATACAGGTATGCAATGTGTGATAATCACATCATGGAAGATTGGGTATCCATTCCTTCAAGCATTTATCTTTTGTATTACAAACAATCTATTTATACTCTTATTTATTTTAAAATGTACAATTAAATTATTACTGATTATAGTCACCCTGTTGTGCTATCAAATACTAGGCCTTATTTTTTCACTCTATTTTTGTATTCATTATCCATACCTACCTCCCCCTCACCCACCCCACTACCCTTTCCAGCCTCTGGTAACCATCCTTCTAATCTCTGTCTCCACGGGTTCAATTGTTTTGATTTTTAGATCCCGCAAATAAGTGATAACATGTGATGTTTGTTTTTCTGTGCCTAGCTTATTTCAATTAACCTAATGACCTCCTGTTCCATCCATGTTGTTGCGGATTACTGAATCTCATTCTTTTTTATGGCTGAATAGTACTCCATTGTTTATAAGTACCACATTTTCTGCTGGTGCCTTGATCTTGGACTTCCCAGCCTTCAAAACCATAAAAAATACATTTCAATTATTTATAACTTACTCAGTATGTAGTATATTGTTACAGCAGCACCAATGGAGTAAGATACCATATGATTATTTCGACAGATGCAAAAACACATTTAACATAAGTCAATGCCTAGTCATGATAAAAATCTCTCTACAAACTAGGAACAGAAGAGAACTTCCTCAATCTGTTAGAGGACATTATAAAGAACTTGTATATCTAACATCATAATTAATAGTAAAATATTGAATCATTCCCCCTAAGATTAAGACAAGCATGTCCACTGTTACCATTCTATTTATATTGTACTGGATGTCTTAACCTTTATAATAAGGCAAGATAAGGAAATAAAAGACATAAAGACCAGAAAGAAAGAAGCAAAATTGTCTCTATTTGTAGATGTCATGGTAATTTACATAGAAAAGTCCAAGGAATCCACAACTACTAAAACTAATAAATAAATTTGATAAGGTTGTATAGAATGTTAATATAAAAAGGAACTATTTTTATATATTAGCAGCAAACAACTGGAAAATGAAATTTTAAAATTCCATGTATAATTGCTTTAAAAACACAAAATACTTAAAACTAAATTTAATAAAAGTCAAGATATAATCACTAAAATTGTGAAACATTACTGCAGTACATAAAATAACAAAATAAATAGAAACATATACCATGTTCAAGGATTGGCACTCTCAAACTTATATGTTTTTGTTTATATGTTTATTATCTGCATCTCCCCATAGGATACAAGCTCTTTGAGGGCAGGAATTTTTTTCTGTTTCATTTATTGATGTATCTTCAGTGTCTATTAATAGTGTCTGGCACATAGTAGTTGCTCATTAAATATTTCTTGAATGAATAACCATCCTGGGTCCCAAAGTAGCTTTGATTTTGCTCACATCTCAAGGAAAACAAACAAACAAACAAACAAACAAACAAACAAACAGAAACCTGTCTGTCTTGTTCCTATCTAAAACCAGTTTTTGTAGCCAGCCAGATGGAGGACATTCTCTTCATAGTCTTCCTCTCTTCTGTCCCCAGACCCTAGCAAGAACTCTAGTCTCTACCGCTGGTCTCTAAACAGAGGCCCCCAGAGTAAATGGCATGCACAGATTCTTTGCAGTACCCAAATACATTCTTAGAACAGGCTCTGGTTGCCAAGGGTAAAGAGGAATAGATTTAGGGTCAGGCACAGTGGCTCACGCCTGTAATCCCAGCCCTTTGGGAGGTTGAGGCGGGTGGATCACCTGAGGTCAGGAGTTCGAGACCAGCCTGGCCAAAATGGTGAAGCCCCGTCTCTACTAAAAATAGAAAAAATTAGCGAGGTGTGGTGGCGCATACCTGTAATCCTAGCTCGGGAGGCTGAGGCATGAGAATAGCTTGAACCTGGGAGGCGAAGTTTGCAGTGAGCTGAGATAGCGCAACTTCACTCCAGCCTGGGTGACAGAGAGAGACCCTGTCTCAAAAAACAAAACAAAACATAACAACAACAAAAAAGAGGAATAGATATGGGTCTAGGAACAGAGTTTCATGGGACTGGGTAGTTACCTTCAATCAGGAGCCAGAAATCTAGTCACAAAGAGGGAAGTTAAACCGTGTGATGATTCCCAAGGGGGAAGTGCAGATTAGAGCTGTGAGACAAAACCAAAGAGAAGGTCAGAACCAGACCTGGTGCGTTGGCTCACACATGTAATCCCAGCATTTTGGGAGGCAGAGGCAGGCGGATCACGAGGTCAGGAGATTGAGACCATCCTAGCCAACATGGCGAAACCCCGACTCTACTAAAAATACAAAAATTAGCTGGATGTGGTGGCACACGCCTGTATTCCCAGCTATTCGAGAGGCTGAGGCAGGAGAATAGCCTGAACCTGGGAGGTGGAGGTTGCAATGAGCTGAGATCATGTCACCGTACTCCAGCCTGGCGACAGAACGAGACTCTGTCTCAAAAAAAGAAAAAAGAAAGAAAGAAAGTCAGAACCTAGAATGAAGTAGGAAGAGCGAGCACAGAAAAATCCTTAGGACCAGGCTTGCCCCTCTTCTGGGGAGCAGAGGATGGCTCATATATAAAGGGTTGGAAACCTCAAAGGACCTGAAGTCAGCTATGGGCTTAAAGCCCAGGTATATATGCGTGGGGAAAGCTCTGGCTTTCCTTGAGGAGAGTTTCTTTTTCTATAAAATAGAAATTTTCATGCCTGCCATGGCTACTTTATAACAACATTGTAATGGTCAAATGAAGTAAGATAGGTACCATGGAGAGATTATTGTTATCTATTAGTCAGCATTATCATGTTTAAGGTTCTGAAGAGTAACCACATTTAAGTTCTTATGGTTCATTATTTAATTTGAAGTGAGTTTCTCCTAATACAATATTCTTCCATATTCAAATATAAATATAAGAATTCATTTCTGCTGCCACATCTAGGATTGTAGAGAAGATAATTCATATCTTTGGTTACCTGCAATAGTGTACAGAACTGCTAGTGACTATACCATCTCCTTATATAGTTGGAAACCATCTTTTCCAACTTATTTTCTTTAATTCCACACTTGATCTTGTTTTCTAACTGCAGAATAATCCATGTCTGGGGCTCTTTTATAAATTATCCACATTGTTAACAACACACAAATAGAGCACAAAATAAATACAAGATTCCAACAAAGAAGCATCCAATACCTGGAATAAAGATAGAATTAACCAAAAATAATTACATAAATATTCAATGTAAAAATCTCAACGTGGATCACTCTTAGCCACAACATTAAGCAGTGGACCATGTTCAGCTTACGTTTATAATGAAATCTCCCTGGTTAACTCAATGATTAAAAAAAAAAAAAAGAGGCCCTCCTGGCTCATATAATAACAAGCATAAAATAACTAGAGAGCATCATTAAAATTAACTATACATTGTGCTGAAGTAGAATATTTAACAGTATCGAGTGCTTTGTCATTTATTACATAGAAGAGTTGTAAGTAGGTCAAACCAGTGACAAGACATGTCACATCACTCCAGAGCTTCACAGACAGGCATGAGTATTTCATGTTTGAACATTTGCTTCTCATCATTGTTTTTTCTTAGCAAGTTTACCTGACTTTAGATTGGTCCGTGCCCTCATCTACAACTATAAAAAGCAATTTCCCAGTCTAAACCTCATCTACAACTATAAAAAGCAATTTCCCAGTCTAAACTATTGTTTCTGTGGAGCTGATAGGTAGAAAAGTGAAACTTAGACATACAAGTGGAGGAAAGAACATGTTTCTGACTTGTCTAGATTCTAAATGATACTAAGACATGAGCCATATGGCCACGGCCTTGAAGCTAGGAAAAGGCCAAGCTGGAGTCTTAACTCAAGTCTGATTCTAAACATTGTTCTCTTTTACAGAAATGGCTCTGTCTCTTGTGGGAAGAATCACATAATGCTTATAAAGGGTTTGGATAAAAACTAGTGACAACCAGAAATGTAATAACAATCCATTTTGTACAATGGTTTGAAATATTCCATTCCCACTTGATATAGGGATTTGTGATGGTTTTCATGACCCTTAACATCAATGACAAAAATAACCACTGGCCCAATTGCTTAGAACTTGAAATAAATCAGAGAAATGCAATCAATCAGTAAAATATTTTTTGAGTGTCTTCTGTTTGCCCAACACTAGACTAGACTCTGTGGGAAATGATAGCTCACATATCAAAGTTCTTTGGAAAGCAGGAAGTGAATGTCAAATAGTACTATTAGGGAAAAACTGCAGGAGGTGGTTCAGTTTCAAAGACCTTAAAATCTTAACGGGGGAGGGGGTTTGCAAATAACAATCCATCTTCATTATCCAAAGTAGCATATAAAATGTAATTAATTGGTGATTGGACCAGAGACCAATACACTTTTTCTTTAAAGAGCCAGATAGTAAATATTTTAGGTTTTGTGGGCCATATGGTCTCTGTTGTAGATACTCAACTCTAATGCTGTAGAGCAAAAACAGCCTTAGATAATATATAAAGGAATAGGCATGACTATGTTCCAGTAAAACTAGCTACAAAAGCAAGTGGCCAATTGGATTTGATCTATACATAGGCACTTTTCCAACCTCTGGTGCAGACTCTGAATGTGAGAGAAGGGTACAAAAGTGATTACTCTTGAACAGTCAGGGAAGACATAGATATAATCATCTTTCATACAGGTCCCACCCTTCCTCCAGGCACTCTATTATAGCTCATTGAATTTTGAGGCCTCCAGGGTGGGTTGCCCAAGGTTACACAATTTAGTAATACGTTTGCCTAGACTTAAACCTAGGTTTAAACAACTTCCATTCTGTATTCTTTTACCACAATAAACTGCCACCTTTAGCAGAATCACCCATGTTCCCCCCTCACTGTATGTCTTAGGGAACACAGAACTTGAGCGGTGTGGACCACTCTGTTGTACAGACCAGGGCTCAAAACTCACACAGAATACAATGGCCTCTTGGAGAATCGGTGCTCACACTTTGCCGCACATGATCATCTGCTGGGAGTTTTAGAAAATTCTGATGCCTAGCCCATGCTACATATCAATTAAAATCAGAATTCCCTAGGGGTGGGACCTAGGCATTAGGATTTTTGAAATGTTCTCAGGTGGTTTCAAAGTCCAGCTAAGTTTGAGAACCACTGCTCTGAAGCACGATGTTGTCATCTATGTGTGTCATATATAAATGGTATCTCCTGGAGTGGCAAGGTGATGGTCATGGGGTAAACCTCATTGACTGATTAAACAGATGCCATTAATTAAATAATTCACAAGATATTTATAGAACACCTTGTTGGTACCAGCCACTGTCGTAGGTCCTGAAGAAACAGTGAAATGGAATGAGCTAGCTATGGAAGAATCAGAAACCTGCCCTTGATTATGTCGAACTTTGTAGTATTTCTTGAATTTTCTTTATTTCCTTCCTGTCTCTGCTACTATTTAGTAAAGGCTTTGAAAATTGCAATCCCCTCTTCTACTTGCTGATAAAAAGCACTTTCTCCCAATTCTGATTATAGTAAGAATATAGCTAACATTTACTGAATACCTATTATCTTGCAAAGGTATATGTGTGCGGTGTCACTCCAGTTCTGTGATTGTGCTTACTATGGTCAGCTTTGGTTTACATAAGGTCAAACAGTTTCAATGAGTTGCCGAAGGTTACCTGGAGAATTAAGGCAAAGGTAAGATCTATATTGGGATCTGCTTGATTCCATAACCCAGTGCCTAATCACTAGGAAATACTGCCTGGGTCACCTCCTCAATAAAAGTTGGCCATCCATTGAAATAACGAACAGTGAAAGGAAAACCTTTCCTTTGGGCCAGATAATGAATAATGGAGGAAGAGTGTCCCCTTGGACATGAGGAAGGGGTAACTATGGAAAATAATGAAGAAAAACATTTCATGTAAGAATTCCTTTGGTTGACAACCTCTTGCCCACCTGGAGGATTTCATTCCAGAGCTTTTCTCTATTCAAATCCTACAACCTGCATTTTGGATTCAGAGTCAAAGCTGTTTCATTAGAAGCAGAATCTTGGAGAATGTGAAGCATCAGGATAGTTGGAGAAAAGAATGTCTTCCAGACTCAAATGCCACCATTTCAGTGAGGAATTCCTTTTCCTTTCCACTTCCTCCAGATACACAGAGAGAATGAATAGTTTCTCCTTGCGTCCAGAGCACTTTACACCTACCCAGAACCTATAGTCCTCATCACAGGTATTTCCAGTTATTATTATTCACTCATCTGCCATCCTCATTACACAGTAAGGAGATGTATTACCATATTAACTTATATTATCACTAGTGTATCCTCAGCCTAGCATAGATCCAGGCACAGAATAAGTGGTCGATTAAAGTTTGTTTTGTTCCAGAGGATATACTTTCAACGTCTAATAATAATAGCTTCCAATTTAACAGTTCCACTTGGGTGCCAACTATATGCTGGGCATTGTGATCTATTTCAAAGATCTTAGTTCCTTTGTTCTCACAACAAAGATTTTGTAACATTATTCCTATCAGAGTGGGCATTTGTCATTTGGGTACCCAACTGCACATTTCTGGAATAGCTCAATAGTACGGTCATGGTGGAGGTAATATCTACCTCCAGTGATGGAGACTGAAGAGGCCTCTTTTATCCTGGCAGAGATAGCAGCAGCTTGTGAGTGACATAGCTGTCACAACTGAGAACTTCGAATTTTGAGCCAGGAACCCAACAACATAGGGCTAGTTGGAGGTGGTTATTCATGCCAGCAGCTGCTATGTGGTTTTTCTATGGTTCCTTCCACTTAACCCTCTGGTGTCTTTGCAAACCTTTACCAGTTTTCCAAACTGTTCTTCTTCCAGTTTTGCATTGACCCTGTAAGCATCTGTTGTACTTCTAATGAATTGCTTTTTTGGTTAACATTGCTGAATCATTTATGTTGATAGCAACTGTGAGCTCTGATGAACTTACTCATTTTGAAGATGAGAGGGCAGGTTGCTTTTCCGTGGTGTTAAAAGGTAAACAGAGACACAGTATCTTTTTTTTTTTTTTTTTTTTTTTTTTTTTTTGAGATGGAGTCTTGCTCTGTTGGTGAGGCTGGAGTGCAATTGCATGATCGTGGCTCACTGCAACCTCTGCCTCTTAGGTTCAAGCGATTCTCCTGTCTCAGCCTCCCGAGTAGCTGGAATTACAGACACCCACCACCACGCCCAGCTAATTTTTATATTTTTAGTAGAGATGGAGTTTCACCATGTTGGCCGGGCTGGTCTCGAACTCCTGACCTCAGGTGATTCCACCCTCCTTGGCTTCCCAAAGTGCTAGGATTACAGGTGTGAGCCATCGTGCCTGGCCCATAATAACTTTTTTTTTTTTAAAAAAAGAGTTTATTAGAGCAAAAAGCAGTTCATGAATCAGGATGCCCTGAACCAAAAGAGGCTTTTGTAGAGTGAATGCAGAAATAATAGAAAGAAAATATTTAATTGGTTAAATATTTAATTGGTTATAAAGTTGCCTTATTTGGTCTATCTCCCTGAAAAGTTCCTAGTTATCTAATTATAAATCATTGGCTGCTTCTGGTTGGTTGAGCTGAAGTTCTGGTTTTACTTAATATAGGCATGCAAAAGAAATAGCTCGAAGTTAAGTTTTGCTTCTGTTTGCAAATCAAGCAAGGTTAAGGTCACTTATGAGGCCTAACTGGCTTTTTCTGCTCAGGGATTCTTCTGGCCTATTCTTTGTCTTAATTTACTTTAGTAATGGCCACATGGCTTGTAAGAGAGAAGGAGGATCTAGATGTGCTTCTCTCTTATTCTAAAGTCCATGCTGTCTCCTTGTACTCCACTGTTTTATTAATCGAGGGTGCTCAAGGTATGTTTGCTGTTTATGATGCTGCTGCCAATATTCTCAGGTTAATTATTTTCTTTCTTTCAATTCAGGAGCCATTTAATTCTTATAGCTCTAGCATTTTCGTGTAAGTGTTTTAGTCTGGTGGCTGACATTTAGTAAGTATTTACATATAAGAAGATGATTATTCTTTTGTTCACTTATTTCTAACCTTTATTAAGTGTTTACTATGCGGCTGGTATTGTATTCTGTGCTTTATCTGAATTTCCTGATTCCCAGCACTGCGACAGGATACAACTAATTTTTATTATTCCCATTTACAGATGAATAAATAGGGTCTTAAAAAGATTATGCATCGTTTCCAAAAGTCATGCAACTGGTAAGTGTTGGACCAAAGAGTCACTGAGGACTGATTCCCTAATGGATGACCCTAACTTTTAAACTTACTTGAGTTACTAAATTCGAGCCAATGTGCACCCCCAAAAGAGTTAGTTTAACTTTTCAGATTAAAAGGAAACTTAGAGGTCACTACTGCTGCAAATAATTAGCTCAGGCTCATTTGAAACTCACTCCCTTAACAAGATCTGGTGTGATAATTCTAACTTCACATCAAAGGTTGGAAGAAATTTCTTCTAGGACAAGTAACGCTTGGAGTAAATGGTTCTTTCCCATCTAGAATGAATTAATGAAGGCAGAAAAGCACTATGCAATCATATTTTACATATCATTTTTTCTATGGATTAGCTTCTTGATGGTGTTTTTAATTATTTAAAAGTATTGAGAAAAAGCTCAAAACAACAGGTCTTTCCTATCTCTGGCTGATTTCTGTCTGTTATGGGCCATCCATTAAAGTCACCTGGGGTTGGTTACCTAGGAAATGGCTGACACACTGGGGCTTTTAGATTGGTCACCTGATTTATGCCAAGAAGATGAGTCATGTGATGGGAATTTAGTTGCTTCTAAGTGGAAGAGTAGAAATTGCTGAGCATTAAAAAAGAACCACTGGAACCTTCATCCTCCCTTCCTTAATTTTAAAGATGAAACAAATGATTTTCTTTCAGGGAGATATAGATATCTAAATTCATCTCCAGAGGAAGGGAGTCTAATGATTCCAAGACCATCTCAGACTTCATGGTTATGAGACACTATATTCAAGGGGTGTGTGTGTGTCAGTGATAAAAGCAGACACAGCTACCTCTTAGGTTAATTCCTGTGCAGCCTGTTCAGTTTCTCTGACAGCTAAAACACTGTTATCTGTATGATAAATAGAGAATTAAAATTCATCAGGAATGAACAGAACTGATCAAATTTGGAGTTTCTTTTTTTTTTTGTAGAGATGGGGTCTTACTTTGCTGCTCAGAGAAAAATAAAGAAAACTAACATTTGCCAACTAGTAACTGTGAATAGTACCTTCATTTTATATCTCATTTAATCCTAAAATGAAAAAGATATTAGTATAATTTTTAGAATTTTCTTCACCAAACATTTATTGAGCACTTTATATATGTCTGCAAGAAGGTTTAGAGAAGATAAGTAACTTACCTAAGGATTAGAATTTATTTTTGTTCTTCTCCAAATGTTTTTTCCCAATCAGTGTATTACTTTTCTGCAGGGTATTTTTATATCAGAAAAGAAAAGTGGAAAGTTAATGAACAATATGGAAGTATTACTGGAAGAAGTTATCTAGCTTGCAAAACTCAGATGTTCATGCATGCACACACAATTTTCCTTTTTTCTAAAAATTCCTCTAGCAGGTCAAAATTACTTTGGAAATTGCCATCTCTCTTGAATTTGCCTACCATGATGTATGAGTGGATTATTAGTAAACGCAGCAAACTTTTTTTTTTTTTTGAGATGGAGTCTTGCTCTGTCAGCCAGGCTGGAGTGCAGTGGCTCGATCTCGGCTCACTGCAAGCTCCGCCTCCCAGGTTCACGCCATTCTCCTGCCTCAGCCTCCCGAGTAGCTGGGACTACAAGTGCCCGCCACCACACCCGGCTAATTTTTTGTATTTTTAGTAGAGACGGAGTTTCACAGTGTTAGCCAGGATGGTCTCGATCTCCTGACCTCGTGATCCGCCTGCCTCGGCCTCCCAAAGTGCTGGGATTATAGGCATGAGCCACCGTGCCTGGCCAAAAGCAGCAAACTTTTATGAACTATTTACATGTGTTAGGCATTGTGCTGAATACATAATCTCCTCAATGCCAAGGCAACCCTGTAAGAGAGGAGCTATAATTACCCCACATTACAGACAACAGGATTAAGCTTTGGAACAGTTAAGTGACAAGTCCAAGGTCATGCCCCAGTAAACGGCAGACTCATTTTGTTCATTTTTTGGTACCTAGGTCCAACTCGAGTTCATTCTCATAATTACTGTAACATTTGCTTTCCCTTTGAGCTAGAACTGATTTTCTTCACCAGCAAGTGGGAGTGGACATCAAAGATTTTTAAATGAAAATTATGGGAGGAAAATTGAAAGCGCTCTGCATTAACATAGTTCCCCTGCAAATGAAGACATTAATATGATCCAATTTTGTCAGGAGAACCCCTCAATTCAGAGTATGGAACGTGTTTTGCTGCAGCAAATTTTAAAACCAACATTCTGTGCAGAATTCTCAGGCATCTTCACATCTCCACGTGACAGACATTTTATATTCCCTAACGTGGTGCCAGGACAGGTACCGCTCATGATGGGGTTAGGGAATTTCTTGCTGTGAGGTTTAAATAGGATAATGCATGTTCAATACCTAGAAGAATACTTAGCCCAAAGTGAGCATCAACACATGGTAACACTCCATGTACAATAACAACCACTGTATATCATAGAATTCATTTATGTAATAATGATACACCGATACTATTAATTTCAAGACTTATAACCACTTCTCCCCATCTCTTGAAAAAAAAAAATAATCCACTGGCTCTGAAATTCCACCATCAAAGCTTTGTTCCTTTCCCTTTAGGCTCCAAGGCTTTCTAAAGTGCAACTAGTCCAGGGAAGTTGTCAGCGATGTCAACCTCAGAGAAAATGAAGGGTTTCAACCAGGCTTAACTGAAGGGAAGCGAGGGAAGATCACAGAGGCAGGGTGTTAGAGCAGGGAGGGCCTTTGGGAGCACAGAGTCTTTTTTCCCTATCACCTGATGGATGAAGAAACTGGGATGCAGAGAGAGCTGGTGAGCTGATCTTTCTTCTTTAACGTTTGTCCCATTCTCCACCAGGAGTGAAGATGCGTGTGTGTGTGTGTGCATGTGTGTGTGTGTGTATGCTTACTTATTTTATGCATTGGGGGAGTGTTTGAGTCACTAATGTTGCGTAACAAACCACCCCACGCTGAGTGGTGTAAAACAATGCCCATTTTGTTAGGCTCACAGATTATGTGGGTTGGGAATTCATGCAGGGAACAAAGGGGATGGTTTGTCTCTGTTCCACAATGTTTGGGGCTTCACTTGAGGACACTCAGACAACTGGGAGCTGGAGTCATATGGAGGCTCCTTCACTCACATGTTATCATCTGGTCCTTGTGCTAGGATGACTCAGAGGCTGTGCACAGCTGGGTCTGTCAACAGAGCCCCTCTATGTGGGCTCTCCATGTGGCATGAAGGCTCATTTCCGACAGGGAGTGTCCCCAGAGGGAGCATTCCATGAAAACCAGGTGGGAGCTGCCTGGCCTTTTCTTACCCAGTATTGGAAGTCACAGAGCACTTCTGCCGCATGCTGCTGGTTACAAGGAAGTCCTACAATCAGCTCAGATTTCAAAAGGAGGAGAAATGGATCCGACCTCTTGACAGAGGAGTGTCAGGGTCACATTGTAGAAGAGCCTGAGGGATGGAAATGGTGCTGCCGTCTTTGGAAAATACAATCTGGTCCAGGGAGGAAAGCAGAAATTTATAACTTTTCCATCATTTAAATAGACCTTTAAAATGTCTCTCTTGTCAGCCAGGAGTGGTGGCTCATGTTTGTAATCCCAGCACTTTGGGAGGCTGAGGCAGGAGGATGATTTGAGGCCAGGAGTTCAAGACCAGCATGGGCAACACAGGAAGACCCTGTCTCTACAAAAAATTTAAAAATCAGCTGTGTGTGGTGGCTCAGGCCTGTAGTCCTAGCTACTCAGGAGGCTGAAGTGGGAGGATTGCTTGAGCTCAGGAGTTTGAGGTTGCAGTGAGCCATGATTACACCATTGCACTCCAGTCTGAGCAAAAGAGTGACACTCTGTCTCAAAAAAAAAAAAAAAATAAATAAATAAACCCAAGAAGTCCTGAATGTCTAAAATTCTCTCTTTCCATTCTCCAGGCACCTAGCTCTCCCCCCAGACATCTTCAGTTCTGGCTCTGAGTGGGATAAAGTGAGTTCTTGGATTCTCAAAGCCTCCCATTCAAGCCCAGCCCCTAAGAGGAGCAGGGCCATTGGGCAGTTTCCTCCCTGCAGCAGGTTCCCAGACAGGACCAGGTAGCTGCGTGGAGCACCAGGAAGCTCACTGGGCCCTGGGGAGACATTGGTCCAGCAGGACTGCCATGTAGGAATTCATGGGTGTGAGAGGGAGCCTGAACAGGTGAGGCTGTAATAAAGTGAAAACTTGACATTGTTGGCAACGGGAAGAAAATAAAATTGTGTGTAGGTGCCTGTGTATGAGCGTATGGGTGCATGTTGCTGAGACTGGGAGAAGAAAAAAAGACCCCCAAGGAGATGAAAAGGCTTGGGAATCAGGCTAGCAATGCTAGAGAATCCAGAAACTGCTGTTCTTGGGATTAATTTTTCCAGGTCAGCACTCATTCAAGAAAGGAAAGAAACCAGCAAGGGTTGAGAACCTACTGGATGTCACACACTCTGTTAATTACTTTTACAAATTTTCTTATTTAATTCTCTCAGCTAATTGACTAAGTTGGAAAGGCTAGTAGCCTCATTTTATATCAAATGATCAAACTTTATATCAAACTTGATCAAAGTCACACAGACATAAGTGCCAGAATCTAGAAGACAAGACATTTCTTGGTACTCCTGCACCTGTGATATTATAAGAAAACCTACTTCTTTTAAAAGCATTAAATAAATGAGAAGATATTCCATGCTCATGACTTGGAAGAATTGATATTGTTAAAATGTCATAGTACCCAGCAATATCTATAAAAATGACATTCTTCACAGAAATAGAAAAAACAATCCTAAAATTTATATGGCATCACAAAAGACCCTTAATAGCCAAAGCAACCTTGAGAAGAAAGATCAAAGCTAGAGGCATCAAATTACCTGACTTCTGAATATGCTGCAAAGCTATAATGATCAAAATAGCATGGTACTGGCATAAAAACAGACACATAGATCAATAAAACAGAGTAGGGAACACCAAAATAAATCCCTGCACATACAACCAACTGATTTGAAACAAAGGTTTCAAGAACACACAATAGAGAAAGGACATCTCTTCAATAAAGTGTCTGGGAAAACTGGATATTCACATGCAGAAGAATAAAGCTAGACCCCCTATCTCTAACCACATGCAAAAATCAACTCAAAATGGATTAAAAACTTAAGTGTGAGACCTAAAACTATGAAACTACTAGAAAGAAACATAGACTTCATCACATTGATTTGGGCAAGGGTTTTTTGGATAGGACCTCAAAAGCACAGACAACAAAAGCAAACATAGACAAATGGTATTACATCAAACTAAAAGCTTCTGCACAGCAAAGGAAACAAGTAACAGAATGAAAAGACAATCTATGGAATGGGAGAAAATAATTGCAAACTATGCATCTGACAAGGTGTTAACATCTAGGATATATAAGAAACTCAAACAACTCAATAGCAAAAAACCAAAAAATCTGTTTTAAAAATGAGCAAAAGACCTGTTTAGACATTTCTCAAAAGAAGACATACAAATGGCCAACAGATATGTGAGAAAATGTTCAACATCACTAAGCACCAGGGAACTGCAAATCAAAAATGCAACAAGATACCATCTCCTTCCAGTTAGAATGGCTATTATCAAAAAACACACACACACAAATGCCAGCATGGATGTGGAGAAAGAAACTCTTATACACTGTTGGTGGAAATGAAAATGGCAAAGCAATTATGCAAAACAGTAGGGAGGCTACTCAAAAAATTAAAAATAGAACTACCATATGATCCAGCAATCCTACTACTGGGTGTATAGCCAAAGGAAATGAGATCAGTGTGCCGAAGAGATATCTGCACCCCCATGTCTATTGCAGCACTGTTTACAATAGCTAAGATATGGAATCAACTTAAGTGTCTGACTATAGATGAATGGATAAGGAAAATGTGATATATGTATATATCCAAGTATGTATACATATATATATATATATTTGTATATATATCCATATATACAATGGAATACTATTCAGTCACAACAAAAGAATGAAATCCTGTCATTTGGAGCAATATGGATGAACCTGGAGGACATTATGTTAGGTAAAATAAGCCAGGCACACAAAGACAAATACCACACTATTTCACTCATATATGGAATCTAAACATTACATTGATTTTGTATAAGTTGAGGGTAGAATAATGGATACTAGAGGCTGGGAAGGGTAAGGAGGCAGTAGAGAGAGACTGGTTAACAGATACAAAGTTACAGTTAAATAGGAGAAATAAGTTCTGGTGTTCTATTGTTGACTATGGTCAACAATATTGGATTGTATATTTCCAGTAGCTAGAAGGCCAAAATTTGAATGTTCTCACCACAAAGAAATAATAAATGTATGAGGTGATGGGTATGCTAAAACCCTGATTTAATTTGTACACAATGTATACATGTATCAAAACATCACACTGTACTCCATAAATATGTACAATTATTATGTGTCAATTAAAAACAAACAAAAAATATAATTTTTAAGAAGCATTGAATTTCTCTCTTTACAGACAATATTATATGAAAAATCATAAAAGAGACAAGAAATAAGTAGTTATGGTTGAAGCAGGGATGGGAGACTAGAGACCCACATGGCTGACCTCTCTTTAGACCCAAAATGGTAGCCCCCAGTAGGTCTGGGGAACCGGGTTCCATAGGACACTGTTTGAAAACTCAGTTAGTTAGTATCTTTAGTAGCCCCAAACAAGACACCATAATGTGCTCTCCAGGCTCTTTGTTCATACGCTGAACTACCTGAAGGCATTCCTCTCTCTTTATCCATCCAAATCTTGTTCATTCTCCAATGCCATATCCTCAGGAGATCTTCCCCAGGGTTGGTTTATTTTCTTTCTCTACATTCTTGCCTCTGGAGAGCTATAATAATTTCATGGCTCTACTTAGCTCCATGTAATAATATAGTTCTCCAATTTATAACATCAGTTCACTATTTCAGCCATCTCCTTTGAGTTCCTGACTCACATATCTAAAATTCTACTAGACATCTCCACACAGGTGTTGAGTGGGAATGTAAAACTTAACATATTCAAAATAGAACTCTTGACTTTCCATTCTCATTCTCTTCCCAAACAAGGATTTTGTTAATTTTTTTTTCTTCTCATCTTCCTTATAAATGGTACCATTGTCCATCCTGACCATCGTGAGATGGTTTCCAAGACCCGAGTCCCAAGGCAGTGGCCAGGTTTGATTCTGCTTCAGAGCATTCTTCAATATTGAAGTGGCTGCAATGGAGAGAGTAGATAATATCTCAGCTTGAGGTAGATTGTGCCAATGATAACACTGTCAGTAATTAGAGCAGGACTGACTCATTCCCCGCTCCTCAAGCAGGCTAGATTCATAGTGGGAAAGGCATACCCCAGGAGCCAGGAGACTCAGAACACAGAAGATCTGATATATTTCAGCAGAAGTTAGCTACTGGTGAAAATTCCTGAGATCCTGAGAGTCTGGGCTCCCCTTCACCCTGGGAGACATTAGTGTAATTGTCATAACTATGTTTGTTCTTGGACTGAGCAGAGACTTCCCCGCTGGATTTAACCTTCTTGAGATTTGTGGTCATGACATGGTCTTCATATCATCTGCTCTCATACCTTGTGTATAATTGCTTCTCAACAAAGATATGAGATTGATTTGCTTATTTATATGCCATAAACAATGGATAACAAAGCTGGTACATTAATGTGATTTCATATTTGGATATAAATTCACCTTCTTAGAGGAAATGACATCTAAAAAGACTGAATGCTTTGCACAACTGTACCTCAAATTTCTGTACCTTGGTGCATTGTTTGTACATTACTCAGATAACATAGCATAGGGAAGGGAGAGGAACTAAAATTTGTTAGGCATGCCCTTGGTGCTGTGATATTTATGTATGTATTTTGTTTCACTCTCACCACAGTTCATTGAGGAAAGCAAAGCTAAGAGAGGCCTAATAAACTGATTAGGTTCACCTTGCTAGTATAAGTAAAAGGGTCAGAATTTGAATCTGGATTGAGTTGATTCCAATTTATAGGCAAGGAAGCTAAGGTTCAGAGATAATTAGCAATGTCTTCAAGTTCAAAGCCAAGACATGTGTCTATATCTGTCTGATTCTTAAAACTATGCCCATTCCATTGTATTACTTCTCCCATCAATGCCAATTCCATCTCTGATAACGTTGATCCTGATAGGATGAACTATATGAGAAGTATTGGATCCAGTTCTCTTGACTAAAGGCAAAAATCTGAGAATAATTTCCCGTAAGAAAGTTGCTAAGCCCTGATATCTTCTAGGAATATTGAAAATGGAATGTAGTTGAAAGAATTGGTAAATGCCTATTATAATTTGTCAAACATTTATGCCTCCTCTTAGTTACCTTCTTGCTGGAAACAAATAGTGTTGTTCTGAGGTACTGAAAGAAATGTTTTTACAGTGGAAATATCAATTTATTTCCATAATAGAAAATTGACTATGTTATTGATCAATATGTCCCATCTGCCAAGTCTTCCTAATTATAAATTTGAAAGGTGCACCTAGTAGCATAGTAACTGTCAAACAACTATTGATGGAAAGCTGTTGCTATAAGTCTTGATACGGGTTCCTCTAATGACAAACTGACAAAGAATGAGACAGCAAATTAAATATGTTTCATTTACTAAGTAAAGTGTTTTTGTCCAAATCTCTCTCCTCAGAGTTGATTAACAAAATAATCCCGTGAACTGTTTACTCCTCCAGAGACGTAGGACCTCACCAAGTGCCAGCCCTGAATAATGCTTACAAAACTGATATCTTGCATCTCAGATTAAAGCTGTGCTAATTTTAAAAATCAACTGGTTTATGTAGCTTTTTATTTTTGCTATCTGCTCAGAGATTCTTACCATCTTCATTCTGCTTCACTTTATGCACAATAATTTTCTCACTTAAATGTCAACATCTCCAATAATATTATCCAAACAGATTGTTACATGAGATTTCAAAAAACATTTTGTATGTTTTATCTGCAATTAAAAATCTCTAGATGGTTCCTTATCATGATTTCCACTCTAATTTGGCAGGGATTAAAGCTTTAGACTGTCACAGGCCAACACTAGGTCAAACTGGATGAACTTCTGATGAACACACACTGTAGAGACTAATAAACTCTAATTACACCACAACCCTCTTCTGAAATGGACACTTCCAATTCCATACACCACAAATATTGGCCCAGAATCAAAGATGAATTCTAAATGAATGCTTTTATTTCATCTTAGATAACAGAAAGAAGTCCCGTTGAAGATGGGAGAGAAAGGAAGCTACCTCCATAGAGTCATGTGCCTAGCATCAAATGTGAAGGGTAAAGGTGGGAACCCAGTTACCTCTGAGTCCCTCTTGTGCCAGGTACCCACAATTACAAGGTCAAAATAATGTCTTTCTCATTCAGACTGTTCAGCATTCGTGTGCCCTTTAAATCGGAAGCCACGCATCTTTCTTTAGCTGTGAGAAATGTTTCTTTCTCTTTTTCATTTTACTGTTGTTTCTCCTATATATATATATATATATTTTTTTTTTTTTTTTTTTTTTTTTGAGACAGAGTCTCACTCTGTCACCCAGGCTGGAGTGCAATGGCGCAATCTCGGCTCACTGCAACCTCTGCCTCCCGTGTTTAAGTGATTCTCCTGCCTCAGCCTCCTGAGTAGCTGGGATTACAGGTATGCACCACCACACCCAGCTAATTTTTGTATTTTTAGTAGAGATAGGGTTTCACCATGTTGGCCAGGCTGGTCTCGAACTCCTGACCTCAGGTGGTCCTCCCGCCTCTGCCTCCCAAAGTGCTGGGATTACAGGCATGAGCCACGGCATGTAGCCCAGCAGGGTCGTTTCTTCTGAGGCCTCTCTCCATGGCTTGCAGGTGGCTGTCTTCTCTGTGCATGCCCACATGGTCTTCCCTTTGTGCACGTCTGTGTCCTCATCTCCTCTTCTTATAAGGACACCATCATATTGGATTAGGATTCACCCATTTGACCTCGTTTTACCATAATCACCTCTTTAAAGACTTTGTCTCTAAGTACATTCATGTTCTGTGGTACTGGGGGTTGTTGTATAGATGTTATGTTAAAGAATTACTTCATCCCCATGTGACCATCTCACGTCATAATCAAATGACCCTAAATCCCTCACTAACCTACCCCTGCCCTCACTAAACTTAATAATAAATGCTGATATATCCAGTGCATCGGCGGCACCACAGGACCAGAAGGCAGTGACCCCCATGGACCCAGCTTTCACTATCTTGTGTGTGTCTATTATTTCTCGACCTGCCGATCCACCTGGGAACAAAGAAAGAGCCCTGCTGCATTGTGGGCTGCTGGCCAGATCCCACGATAGTTGGGGCTTCAACATATGAACTGAGATGGGGGCAAAATTCAGCTCTTAACAATGTCTGACAATTAGTAGTTATTCAATAAGTGTTAGTCCCTCTTTTCCTTCTATCATGTGTATTGCCTTCTCCTGCCCATCCTTGCAATAATCACTAGCATTGTGGTAAGAATACCATAGGTACTAAGTATATTTTTATAAACAAATTATACTTAGAATAAGTGTGAAATGCCTTTACAGAAGAAAAAAAAAGGCTAGTCTTGCACAACATACAGGTAAAACTTATTTAACTATAAAGCTATCCTTTTGTATTTAATTTTTCCCACATTCTTTTAAGAACTAAGAAAATTCAGTTTGGGAGTCTAAGGAGGGAGTATCACTTAAGTCCAGGAGTTTGATACCAGCCTGGGCAACGTAGTAAGACCCTCTGACATGTGCCTGTAAGCCTAGGTACTTGGGAGGCTGAGGCAGGAGGATTGCTTGAGCCTAGGAGTTTGAGGTTACAGTGAGCTATGGTCATGACACTGAACTACAGCCTGGGCAACAGAGAGAGACCTTGTCTCCCACCACCACCAAACAAAAGAACTAAGAAAAATTCACTGAGTAGCTTCTATCTGCTGGGCACATGCTTGTCTCATTTAATGACATCAACCTGCTTGGTTGGGCATTGTTCTTCCCATTCTGAGATGAGGAAAGTGGACATCGAAGGCATTAATTACTTGCCAAGGCACTGGGTGAGGACAGCTTTGTGGATACCAAGATGGGGAAGACTCTGGCTCTGACCACAAAGCACTTACCATAGAGTGAGAGGGACCACATTCTGCAGCTGACTCAAAAGCCAATTAGAAGGTGACAAATGCCATAACTGAGTTTAAATCCAAGGCTTTTGGGGGTACACTCATTTAATTTAGTCTTTTTTATTTTTTTGTCACCCAGGCTGGATTGCAGTGGCACGATCTTGGCTTACTGCAAGCTCTGCCTCCCGGGTTCACGCCATTCTCTTGCCTCAGCTTCCCGAGTAGCGGAGACTACAGGCGCCTGCCACCACACCTGGCTAATTTTTTTGTATTTTTAGTGGAGACCAGTTTCACCGTGTTAGCCAGGATGGTCTTGATCTCCTGACTGCGTGATCCGCCCGCCTCGGCCTCCCAAAGTGCTGGGATTACAGGCGTGAGCCACCATGCCTGGCCTAGTCTTTTTTTTTTTAAACAAAATTTTACCCTTCCCTAAAGTAGAACCAAGGTACAACGTTCCCTATACATTCTGCTTTGTGGAAGATTCTGTGGCCTTCTGGATGGATTCCTTCTGTGCTGACTGAGATAAAGAAGGAGGGAGATGAATAGGAGGAGGATGGGTGGAGCAGGGGTGGCGCTCAAGGTCAGGAAAGGTAAGTAACTTTTTTTTACCATTAGAGGCATGAGTGCATACATGGAGGTCCTATTATCCAGCTGCAGCATGGTATTTGCCCAAGAGGGAATAAAATGAAAGCCACATGAAGACCCAGGATGGCAAAATGCTTTGCAGATGAGTGAAGCATTTAAATACTTGATACTTAATATCAGCAAGTCATCCCATATTTAATGACTGACAAACAAGAACTGCTGAGGATAGAGAATCAGGTCCCGGTTTTGGATTAGAGGCAGTATAGAATTATGGCAAGATCTTGGGCTTTGGAAAGGTCAGGCATACTCTGTTGCTGTGATATTCTTGGTGTGACCTTAAGCAGGCCGCGTATCCTGTCTGGGGCTCAGTGTTCTCATCTGTAAAACAAGAATGCAAACACCTAATTGAAGGGTGATGTGGGGTTAACTGAGATGAGTGATACAGCCCTGTTGGAAGCTGGGGAGTAAATCTCATCTTCCCAACTTAATGTGCCGATTATTCACCAGACTGCCAAGAGCACTCCTAAAGCCCTCACAAGTCTCTGTTCCTGCTGCCATTGCCCTTCTTCCTCCACTCATCATCTTTTGTCTGGATGGAAAGGGTCACCTACTAAATGTCCTCCCATCTCCAACATGCAAATTTAATAATACCCTTCATCTGTGTAGATTCTTTCTTTGACATACAATTATCTCCAGAGTGAAATTCACACGTCTTTGTGGGGTATGTGGGCTCCTCCCCATTTACTCTTTGCTTGCTCTTTCCCCTCTTCCCCTGTCTCACCCCTGCCCCATCTGCCTCTCCTGTTGGAGAAACACCATGTCCTCTCTAAAATGCCTTTTTCCCACTCCTCACAGCCGCCTACGTTTTTTTTCCTGTTCAAAGTTTTAGCTTAGGCCATGTGAAATGGAACTGTCAATTTTTCTAAACTTTCTTCATCTGGAAAATAGGCTAAAAATTTTACTTGATGGCCGGGCGCAGTGGCTCACGCCTGTAATCCCAACACTTTGGGAGGCTGAGGCGGGCAGATCACAGGTCAGGAGATCGAGAACATCCCCGCTAACACGGTGAAACCCCGTCTCTACTAAAAAATAAAAAAAAAAATTAGCCGGGTGCGGTGGTGGGCGCCTGTAGTCCCAGCTACTCGGGAAGCTGAGGCAGGAGAATGGTGGGAACCCGGGAGGCGGAGCTTGCAGTAAGCCGAGATTGTGCCACTGCACTCCAGCCTGGGCGACAGAGCGAGACTCCATCTCAAAAAAAAATTTTTTTTATTTGATAAGGTGGTCATGAAACTCAGTTTAATTAATATACAGTATTTAGCATAGTGTCAGATATATAGTAAGTGCTCAGTAGATGGTTACTACTACTATACTACTTTTATTGTTATTATTAGCACACAAAGAAAGTAGAGCTTAACCTCTGGATCAGGGACCAAGGACATTTTCCCAGAAGAGAGGATGCTTTCACTGAGCCTCAAGGTACAATAGTCTTTCTCTAACGGGGAGACAGAGAGGAGGAAGGGCATTCCAGTTAGCAGAGTGGGACATGCAAAGTCTCAAAGGTGAGAAAGGACATGGTATGTTTGGGAAGTGGAGAGAAGATGAATATGCTTGGGTTAGGATGGAACAGGAAGAGGAGGGCGGTGGGCCTGGGTGGAAGGGGTCCCCGTCACCCTGCCTCCTTCCATTCCCCAGATGTCTCCCCTTTCCCCTCCCTCAGCCTGCTATGCCCTCCAGCCCATCTCACCCAACATTGCCTGTCACTGCCTGTCAAGGCCCATCCCATTCTAAAGTCTAGGTCCAATATTACTTGTTCCAGGAAGACTTTTTAAATTTCACGAGGGCAAGGACCACATCCGTTTTGCTCACTGTTGTATTCCAAGCATCTAGCATAGTGCTTGGCATGGACTAGGTACTCATTTCTTTTTCTTTTTTTAATAAATGAATAACAGCAAACCCTATAGTTACTATCCAATGTCTGCTCCCATTTTCTCCTTGCCAACAGAATGTTCCTGTAGTGGAGGGTAGCAATTTTCCCAGCCTCAGGCAACAGATCATGATTAGTCTAGTACAGTGCTGTCCAATAGAAATATAATGAGAGCCAAGAATGTGAGGCACGTACGAAATTTAAAATTTTCTAGTAGCCACATTGAAAAAGTAGGTAGGAACAGGTGAAACTGATTTTTATTTATTTATTTTTTTCAGACAGAGTCTCACTCTGTCACCCAGGCTGGAGGGCAGTGGCATGATCTCGGCTCATTGCAACCTCTGCCTCCTGGGTCCTGGATTCAAGCAATTTTCCTGCCTTAGCCTCCTGAGTAGCTGGGATTACAGGTGCCTGCCACAACACCCGGCTAATTTTTGTATTTTTTTTTTTTAGCAGAGATGAGGTTTCACCATGTTGCTCAAGCTGGTCTCAAACTCTTGACCTCAAGTGATCCATCCACCTCAGCCTCCCAAAGTGCTGGGATTACAGGGGTGAGCCACTGCACCCGGCTGAAATTGATTTTGATATTATATTTTATTTAACCCATTATATCCAAAATATTAACATTTTAACATATAATTCATTTGAAATAGATTCTTTCACTAATTAATGAAATAGTTTACATTCTGTTTTCTGTGTTGTCTTTGAAATCTGATGTGTATTTTGTGCTTACAGCACATCTCTATTTGGACCAACCACATTTCAAGAGCTGAAGAGGTACCTGTGGCTAGTAGCTCCCTTATTGGCCAGGTCAGTCTAACCAATTGTAACAATCCATTTCCTACTTTCCCAGACTCCTCTTCAGCAAGAAGTGGACATGTGACCCAGTTCTGACCAATGAGCTGAAAAGGGAGGTCAGCTGGGCCTTCTGGAAAAGCTTTTGCTTTCCTGATTAGAAGGACAAACATGGCTATGTCACCTCTTCCCTCTTGTCTTTCTTTCTGTCTTTTTTTGTGTGGGGAGGTTATTTTTTAGAGACAGAGTTTCACTCTGCACTCAGGCAGGAGTGCAGTGATGCCATCATAGCTCAAACTCCTGCACCCTCAAACTTCTGGGCACATGTGATCCTCCTGCCTCTGCCTTCCGAGTAGCTAGGACTCTTCTTGTCTTGAAAGCAGATGTGCTTTTGGAGGTGTGACCATTGATTAAGCAATCATAAAGAACAGGGGTTGGAAAACTTTTTCCATAAAGGACAAATAAGAACTATTTTAGCCAATATTTTAGGCAATGTGCATTATAGAGTCTCAGTTGCAACTACTCAATTTTGCTATTGGAGTTCAAAAACCATAGACAATATGTAAACAAGAGAGAGTGGCTGTGTTCCAAAATAACCTTTCTTTGAAGTGCATTGGATTTGCTTGTGGGCCATAGTTTGCCATCCTTTCCCATCAAGAGAATTGCAGAGACACCAGCCCTGACATTGTGAAGGCACTTCCAGATTTTTTGTTATATGGGAAAAAAATAGATCCCTATTTGTTTAAGTCACCATGAATTGGTTTTCCTGTTACTACTGTGGCTGGCAGAAACCTAATGAATACTTGAAAAATAGAATCAGTGTGCCAGTTACAATTAATAGCCTTTTCTTTTTTCTTATTTATTTATTTATTTTTGAAGAGACAGGATCTCACTATGTTGCTTAGGTTCGTCTTGAATTCCTGAGCTCAAGTGATCCTCCTGGGATTACAGGCATGAGCCTCCATGCCCAGCCATAATTAACCAAGTTTTCTCCCAAGATACTGTGCCTTTTAAAAATATTAAGATCAGTATGATGATCGCAACATTAATACCATCAGTTGAGAACTACATTTTTATAAACGTTAATTCTGACAACAACTGCTAGTATTCCTGATTCTTTGAGGAGGAAATTGAAGCCAGAAAAAAAAAAAAGTGATCCTAGGTTACGTAGCTAATAGACAGCAAAAAGGATTGGAATCTAGATCCTATCTGATTCAAAAATGAATCAGAAATATTTGTGAATTACCTATTAAGTGCCAGGAATTCTTCTGGTGATTGGCAAGATCAGTGAACAGAAACAAAGATTTCCACCCTTGAGCTTACCATTTTGGGTGGGGGAAGAAGGCAATAAGTAATCTGCAGTGGTTTAGGAGGTGTTTGGATAAACTATAAAGGAGAAAGTCAAGCAGGAGTCTTCCCTTTGTGCCGCCTGCCTCTTTGTACTTCTTTGAGTTACGTTTATCAGAGGCTGCCTTATGTAGGGATGACGTGAATGTGTGTCTGCGTTTTCCCCTAGATTGCAGCCTTTGGTGAGGAGGGCCTCTATTTCATTGATCTTAATACAGCTACAGCAAACAGCAGGCATTCCATGCTTGTTGGATAGAAATTCAATTGAACTCACTTCGGCATCAGCTGTTAGGTTGGAAGCCGCCCAAGAAACATATGTTTTCAGAAAGGGTAAGTTCAGTTCAAAGGTTCAACAGATATTTTTGTGAATGCCCAAGTGCCAGGCACCATGCTGGGCTCAGTGCTCCCAGGAGACGGGTCAGTCTAAGGAGGTGGCTATCTGGGGAAGCGCTCGGCTTGCCAGAAGCAAGATAAACAAGCCAGAGTTCAGCAGGCTCAAGCAAAGACTCTAGGGACAAATCCTTAGAGGGAGAGACCTTGCCAGGGACTCCCAGTAGTACCAGCTGTAATTGTCCTCCCAATCTGTCACCCACTCAGATGGTGGCATGTTTATTCTCCCATCAGTGACTCTTGTTCCTGGGCCAGGGGCATGTGCTTTTTTGTTTTACTTTTTTTTTTTTTTTGAGACAGAGTTTCACTCTTGTTACCCAGGCTGGAGTGCAATGGCGCAATCTCAGCTCACTGCAACCTCTGCCTCCTGGGTTCAAGCAATTCTCCTGCCTCAGCGTCCCAAGTAGCTGGGGATACAGGCATGTGCCACCACGCCTGGCTAATTTTGTATTTTTAGTAGAGACAGAGTGTCTCCGTGTTGGTCAGGGTGGTCTCGAACTCCCAACCTCAGGTGATCTGCCCGCCTTGGCCTCCCAAAGTGCTGGGATTACAGGCATGAGCCACTGCGCCCAGCCTGTTTTTCTTTTTAAGGATGTCACCAGTGCATACAACCTCCCTGCCACAGAGAGAAAGTGTGTGCAGAATGTATTTGCATTTCGTTTGATGCAGGTGAGTGCCTTTCAGGGTCTGACTAAGGAGGTCACTTGAGCACTCAGGGTTTGGAAGACTCAAGCCACTTACAGGGATTCAACAGAGTGGGACAATGAGAGATGGTGAGCAAAACATTCCTGAGACCTGAGACCTGATCTCGGGACCAACTCTGCCAAATACCCAAAGACCAACACAGAAAAATAAGAAGGCCCATGGGATGCATTTCCTGTTCAGGATGGAAGTCACTTTATAAAATCCTATGGGGTGTGAGGAAGCCTATTCGTGACTCAGATGATTCGCTTTACCAGAGAGAGGAATCTAAATGAGAAACCTGACTCTGCTTTTTAGCCATTTAAAAGTTAATATACAAGTGAATTTCAGTGATGTCAATTTGATCCCAAAGTTAGATCTGGGACTGTAACTCAAAGTTAAATGGACTACAGTTAACTTACTCTGGGTCCAGGAACTTGGACAGGTCCCATCTGCTCTCTGAGACTCAGTTTTCTTATATGTAAAATGAGGGGTGAGAGACTAAACTATCTCTAAGCTCCTGAGAGCTTTGCCGTTTTAGGATATACTGTAAATAGATTCATAATGACAAGGACTCAGGGGTTCCTAAACCTAGCATCAGGAACGCTAAGGAGTGTGTTAAAAAATAAAGATTTTTCTGATCCAACCCTGGAGAATCTGATTCAGTATGTCTCAGTTAGGGCCTAGAAATATGTATTTTTAATAGGCTCAGGTAATTCTTCACAGCTTATGCTCAGCCTGGCTGGTATTTGAGAGCCACAAGAGGAACTGAAAGCCCTTTGCAGACAGCCCAGATCTGGGTCATTTTCATTATTTCAAAAAGTCTCATTGGATGAAAACACTGACCTCTCCCCAGTTCCCCTAGCCCCCATCCTACATTCTGGGCCTTGAAACCAGCCACAATTGCAGATAACTTTCAGCTGCATTATTCAGCCTCATTTGGGGGGCAGGGGAGAAGCCTTTGTATTTTGCATTTTTTGATTCCCTTTTGTTAGAATACAGTCCCAAAGAGGCGGTGGGTTTTAAAGAGGGGACAAAACCCTCCAACTCTAACTTGACTCACCGTATGATGCTGGACCAGGAACTCAGCCGAGCGTCCCAGTTTTCCTGGTCTGGAAAATGGGGAACGTGAGCTGTGGCCTGTCCCTCATGTCACATGCTGCTAGCAAAAATTTTTTAAAGCTTACAAATGCTTTGAGGATTAATAAGGTGCTTGGAAAAAGGGCAGTTTCTAAAAACGTGGTGTTTGTATTCAACATTGATGGGGAGCCAGTGGTGCTATGTGTGCTGGAAAGAGCACAAAATTAGCAGTGATGGTGATCTGATTTGATTCCAGGGGACTGAAATATCTAAATACAAAATCCAGGCGAGACAAGCCTTGACAAAGGACAGGTGCCTTCTCACAATGTGACACAGGAGACAAAGGTCCTTAGCTAAGGGTGGGGAGGGAGGAATGCGGGAAAGTCATCTGGCAGAAAAGAGGAAGACAGGAGTGGGAAAACATGGCAGGTCTGCCAGGCAGGATTAGGGCCCATCTGAATTTCAATCTGAATTTAAGGGGAGGGCTGTCAGCTACCTTGCGCGTGTTTTCTCAGCCACATACAACTTCCTGGGGCAGGCAATGAGCAGACTGAGTGTTGAAGTTGACCAGGATTTAGGTTTTTCCAGACTAGCACAATGGGGGAAGGGCAGAAGAGAGAGTTGATAGAATATGCAGAGGGGACTGGTGATGCCAGGCACCCCGTGTAGAGGCAGAATTGCCCCCTTCAAAACTCTCCAGGGAAGAGCCGAGTGAAATGCATGCATTCTCTCCGAGGGGATGCAAGAGAAAGTGGCTGGGCCACCAATTTTCCAAGGATTTCAATCTCTCTTCCCCTCCCAGTGGGGATAGAGATGGCAAGTATTTCAAAAACGGAGAGTCTTTTTTTTTTTTTTTTTTTTTTTAGACGGAGTTTCGCTCTTGTTGCCTAGGCTGGAGTGCAATGGCACAATCTTGGCTGACCACAACCTCTGCCTCCCGGTTCAAGCAATTCTCCTGCCTCAGCCTCCCAAGTAGCTGGGATTACAGGCATGCACCACTATGCCCAGCTAATTTTGTATTTTTAGTAGAGATGGGGTTTCTCCATGTTGGTCAGGCTGGTCTCGAACCCCCAACCTCAGGTGATCCTTCCAAAGTGCTGGGATTTCAGGTGTGAGCCACTGCGCCCAGCCAAGAGTTTTTTACTCAAAGGAAGAAAACAGCATGCATGGGAAAGGAGCTCTATTCCCACCCAATAATAGAGCTCCTGGAAGTTGGTGCTGGGAGCGTTGCAGGGAAGAAAGGGTTAATATTATCTGAGTGTGTGTGACTGTGAGACCCCCTTCATTCAGGACAATGTTTACTTAACAAACTGTGTATTGTGTGCTCAGTACTAATCAACTATGTATATGTTAACACACAGAAAAATATCAGACATTTAAAAAAGAGATTAAAAGTAAATAGAAATTCTAATATTTTCTTCCCACACTCCCAGCAGATCAGTATTTTTATTCCCTATCTAACACTCCTCCTTTTGGAGACCAATTCTCTAGCCTATGCTTCCATGAGAATCACCTGTGGATCTTAAAATGCATATTCTGGCCGGGCGCAGTGGCTCATGCCTGTAATCCCAGCACTTTGGGAGGCCGAGGCAGGTGGATTACTTGAGGTCAGGAGTTCAAGACCAGTCTGACCAACATGGTGAAACCCTGTCTCTACTAAAAATACAAAATTAGCCGGGCAAAGTGGTGCGTGCCTGTAATCCCAGCTACTTGGGAGTCTGAGGCAAGAGAATTGCTTGAACCTGGGAGGCAGAGGTTATAGTGAGCCGAGATTGCACCACGCATGTGCCACCACGCCCGGCTAATTTTTGTATTTTTAGTAGAGACGGGGTTTCTCCATGTTGGCCAGGCTGACCTCAGGTGATCTGCCTGCCTCAGCCTCCCAAAGTGCTGGGATTACAGGCGTGAGCCACCGCACCCGGCCAGCACCTTGCTTTTATTTTGTTTTGTTTTTACAAAACGCTGGATCCTTTACTATGTCGTCTATAGGTATGAGTTTGCATCTTGGCTGCATTCCTAATGAATACGACCTTGGGTAAGTCGCTGAACTCTTTGTGTCTCAGTTTCTCCATCTGTAAAGTGGGGGTAACAAGAACACTACAATGAGGTTATTGCCAAGATCAAATGAGTTGTATGTAAAGTGCCTGGACCACTCCCTGGAAGATAGAAGGTGCTCAGTAAATATTATCAATTATTATTTTTATTATCTTTCCTACCAAAAGGACAAGTCATCTTGTTCCTGGGCCAGGGGCATGTGCCCTGGCCCATGTGTACTATAAACAATATATAGACTAGATATAGCAGGTTGCAGCACTTCTCAGACTAGATGGAATAGGCTCACCAGGTGAGGGAAGCAGGAGATGTTCTCGCTGTATATGTGCTTCACACACCCTCCGCCTTGAGGTTCAACTCAGTAAATTTGGGTTAGGGGGTTAGCAATCTGAATTTTTGTTTTTGTATTGGGGCCTCACTCTGTCATCCTGGCCAGAGTGTAATGGCACAATCATGGCTCACTGCAGCCTAAACCTCCAGGGTTCAAATGATCCTCCTGCCTCAGCCTCCTGAGTAGCTGGGACTACAGTCATGTGCCACCATGCCCACCTAATTTTTTTGTTGTTGTTGAGATGGAGGACCTCACTATGATGCCCAGACTGGTCTCAAACTTCTGGGTGGCTCCAATGATCATCCCACCCCAGCCTCCCAAAGTGCTGGGATTACAGGTGAGAGCCACTATGCCTGGTCTAGCAACCTGAATTTTATTTATTTATTTACTATTTAATTTATTTTTATTATTTATTTATTTATTTATTTATTTATTTATTTATTTATTTATTTCTTGGGATGGAGTCTCGCTCTGTTGCCTAGGCTGTGGTGCAGCGGCACTATCTTGGCTCACTGCAACCTCCGCCTCCCGAGTTCAAGCGATTCTCCTGCCTCAGCCTCCTGAGTAGCTGGGATTACAGGCGCGCACCACCATGCCCAGCTAATTTTTGTATTTTTAGTAGACACAGTTTCACCATGTTGGTCAGGCTGGTCTCGAACTCCTGATCTCGTGATCCACCCGCCTCGGCCTCCCAAAGTGCTGGGATTACAGGCGTGAGCCACCGCGCCTGGCCCTGCAACCTGCATTTTAAATAAGCTCCACAGGTGGTTGTGTGGTCAGTGTCCTGAGGACTGTGTTTAGAGAAAAGCTGGTTGTTCATGTCTCAGTATTCACGTCTAAGCCAGTGTGTGGCCTTTCCATTGTTTTGGTCTTCTCCCTACAAGCCTGCACAGCTGATAAGAATTCTGGGCTCTGGTATTTAAATATCACATCATCATTGTTTTGCTACTTATCTTAGGCAGGTATTTTGAATTCACCTGGCCCAAGGCTTTCTCATTTTAGAGCAGCCAAGCTCGGATTCAGCTCCTGGATCCAGGTGCAGTGGGCTCCCAGCTTTTTCTCTCCCTTGACTACGTGGGCCGAGAGGGGCTGTGTCTGCTCCAGCTGCTTCTGATTAAATTACCCCGTCATCCAGCAAGGAATGCCAGTGTGCCTAGCTTGGAAAGGGCAGACCGTGCCTGTTCACCATGGCATCCTGGTCCTTGGCATTTCACATAGGGCCCAGAACACAGTAGAAACTCAATAAATGCTTGCTGAACGAATGAATCAAGTTGCATTATATAACATGTACAAACAGATTCTCATTTTATAAAACAATCAATGTGTGTTGATCAAAATGAACTCAGTGCATCTACCTTACATTAAAATATGGGTCAGAAACTACCACCTTGAAGACATTTTTCAGAAGCCCAACCAGCTTAGTATGTACTCCTTAACTTCACAAGGAGAATTCCTTAGCCGAGAGAGTGCTGGAGAGGATGCAATCACATTGCTGGTCTGCAGAAAGGGCTCAATCAAGTGGTTCCTGCCCTCGTTCCTCTCCTGTTCAAAGAGTCTGTAAATTAGGATTCCAAATGGTGACAGCTCTGGACAGATGAGGAACCCGAGGCCCAGAGAGGTCAAGTCACATGCTCTAAGGCACACAGCAAGTAAATGACCCACTGAGGATTTGAATCAGAGCCAGATGCTGCTGCCTGACTCCAATCTCTTTTCATCTAATTGGTTAACAAAGGTTGACTCCCTAGCCATTGCATCAAATCACACCTAAGGCTTGTTAAATGCAGACTCATGGGTTCCCCTGTTGATCAGAACTTTGTGGGATAGGGGCCAGGAATTTTTAATAAAACATGCCAGGCGTGGTGGCTCACGCCTGTAATCCCAGCACTTTGGGAGGCCAAGGTGGGTGGATCAAGATGTCAAGAGATAGAGACCAACCTGACCAACATGGTGAAACCCCATTTCTACTAGAAATACAAAAATTAGTCGGGCGTGGTGGTGCGTGCCTGTAATCCCAGCTACTCAGGAGGCTGAGGCAGGAGAATAGCTTGAACCCGGGAGATGGAGGTTGCAGTGAGCTGAGATCATGCCATTGCACTCCAGCCTGGGTGACAGAGTGAGACTCCATCTCAAAATAATAATAATAATCATAATAAGTAAAACAAGCAGGTAAATTGTATGTATGCTGAAGTTTGAGATCCACAGCATGCCAACATCCTCTGTAAGTAAGGAGATCCTTAAATTTTATCTCAGAGATGATCAGTTTCCGAACTCCACTCAGTCATTATTTAAAAAATATTTTTCTAAGCTGCTGCAGCAAATGCCTCATTGAAACCCACCATTAGCTACTGGTAGCACTGAATAAATGGTGTCATCCTGTCTAAACCTCCACTTCCTCCTATCAGCACCACCCCCATAGCAGGTGCTCTCCTTCTCCCTCTCACCAAAGAGCAAAGGGGTGACTTTTAAAAGCCATCTAGAAACATGAGGACCAGCTGTTGGAAGACCCCAGAGAGCCGTGCCAACTTTCTTAAATTCAGGCCCCGGAGTCATTGCCTGACCAGGATGGGTTCTGCAAGAGAGCCAGGGACAAGGATTAAAACATGCATTTTTAAGAGGGTAAACTGGAGTCCCTGATGAGTTAATCTTGGGAGGAAGAGGTATGCCAGAGATACCATAGACAGGAGTTGTGCTCAGGATAAGAACAGCAAGGACACAGCACTCCCTGGGTTCCTTAGCAATATGCCTTCACCGGCAGTTTAGCTAACAGTGTGTCTCTAGGGCTTCTGTTGCTATCAGATTTATGCCTTATGAAATGTCAAAAGGGAAGCACTGATTCTTCAATACAGCAAGAAATTTCCTTCCTTTTTCTTTCTTTCTTTCTTTTTTGTTTTGTTTTGTTTTTTTGTTTTTCATGTAATGCCCTCCTGGAGGGCTTTTGCAACCTGGATAAATATTTCTCTTTCAATTCAAACAGACAAGCGCTTATCACTTCTCAGGGAAGACACCATTGCTTCTTTATGAGGCTGTTCTGCAAAGCAGACAAGTCAGGGCATCCCAGTGCGTGCCCAACACTGAGCGTTTGCACTGAGAGCAGAATCACACACTCCTTTACCCGTTACTAGAGAAGAGTTACTGGAGAAGAGAAATAATGCATTACTCTTACTAAGCAGGCAGCATTTCTCTTTTTTGCATAGTGCCCAGCAGCCTGACTATACAGAGGAACTGGAGACACCTCTAAAGGCTTTGAAACAAAATGGCCTCTGAGTCTGATCCGTTCTTCCCAGGTCATACCTCCTCCATGAAATCTGATGGGATTTGTGCAGACCACTGATTGCTTCCGCATGGGAAACTAAGATGTCTGGGGCCCCTAACGTGGGCCAGATTCATTGCAGACATTATCTCATTTATTCCTCCATGCAACCTCATGGAGTGAGGATTATCAAACTCATTTTATAAATGAGGAAACTGAAGCTCAGAGTTTAGGTTGAGGAATTAAGCAAACTTGGAGAGAAACATCACTTTCCCAACTATTTAGCTGGCTGATGTTGCGTAAGTTGCTTAACTCTTCTGAGCTTTATGTCCTCATCTATAAAATAAAGATTATATTGTACTTTTTAGATTCATGAGAGCTAGTGATTGCAATTATGTATATATTGGGCTCAGCATTGTGAGCACTAAATAAAATTGTGGCTATTGCTATTATTATTATTACTCTGGAAATCTCCTAAGGAAGAGAGGGGCAGAGCAGGAATTAGAACCCAGGTCTGGGAGGTTCCAAAGCCCATGGACTTTTCCTGGGTGTGCCCATTGATGTCTGCATTTGTGAAGCCATATAATGTTAGGGTTTTATATTTATGTGCTTTTCTGTACCATTTCTCTGAGGACATGACCATGCAATGAACTTCCTTTGCTTTCACCATTTTCCTGGGTGCTGGCGTCCAGCAGGTGCACCCTAATCACCCAGAGTTGGCTTAACTCTGCCCCACCAAGAGTAGTGATAGTTTTCTGGTCCTTTCTAAGCACTGGCATCAAAGTAATGAGTCCTTAAAAAAACTCTTTTGGGAAATCTGTGAATTATCTTGAGTATCTTTCTTTTTCTTTTTTTTTTTTTTTGAGATGCAGTCTTTTTCTGTCACCAGGCTGCTGGAGTACAGTAGTGCGATCTCAGCTCACTGCAACCTCCGACTCCCTGGTTCAAGCAATTCTCCTGCCTCAGCCTCCTGAGTAGCTGGGATTAGAGGCATGTGCCACCACACCCAGCTAATTTTTGTATTTTTAGTAGAGATGGGGTTTCACCATGTTGGCCAGGATGCTCTTGATCTCTTGACCTTGTGATCTACCTGCCTCGGCCTCCCAAAGTGCTGGGATTACAGGTGTGAGCCACCGCGCCTGGCCTATCTTGAGTATTTTTTAAAAAACAAACCCACAACCTGATTTTTTGGGAAAAAAAAATACCCCACAGGAACAAACCAGATTAAATCAAATTAAATGTAGAACTGACGACATTGCAGCCGAAGCGCCCCCATGCTGACTTTCTTTGGGTTATTTGAGAAAGACCCCCTCAGCAGGCCCACTGAGTCCCAGAAGAAAGCCAAATCCAAGTGGAATAGATGGGAATTCTACAGGGTTGGTGGTCTCACCTTGGTTTGCATTTCTCATTCTCTTATTTGGGAAAAATTACCTATCCTGAAAAGAGGCAGGGAAGGATCTGAAATCTCCTCCTATGTTTGGCTGTGCTAGACTTTGTCTTAAAGACCCCTCAATTTATAAGGAGGCAGTGCAGTATCGCATGAAAGGCAAGGTGTCCGGTGACACTAGGACAGACTCTGTATGAGAGCAGGGGCATCTATTATTCACTGCTATATTCCCAGAAACAGGAACACTGTTGAACGAATGACCATGTAAATGAATGGACTAAGACTGCTTAGGTTTGAATTCTGGCAACACTTCTTTGCTGGAAGCTCAGATGAGCTTCTGAACTTGCTGTATTAGTTTTCTATGCTGCATAACAAATTACTCAAAACTTAGTAGCTTAGAACAATGCAAATGTATTATCTCACAGTTACCATGGGTAAGGAAGCTGGGTGTGGGTCTTCTTACCTGGCTGAAATCAAAGAATTAGCTGGAGCTGCAATTCTTATCTAAGGTTTGAGGTCCTCTTCCAAGCATATGGGTTGTTGGCATAATTCATTTTCTTGTGATTGTAGAAGAGAGATTCCATTTTTCTGGTGGCCCTTGGCCATAGGCTATTCTCAGCCCCTAGTTCTTAGCATGTAATTGTCTCAGGCAGTTCACAACATCTCTTTTTTTTTTTTTTTTTTTTTTGAGATGGAGTCTCGCTCTTTTGCCAAGCTGGAGTGCAGTGGCACAATCTTGGCTCACTGCAACCTCTGACTCTCTGGTTCAAGCTATTCTCTTGCCTCAGCCTCCTGAGTAGCTGGGATTACAGGTATGCACTGCCATGCCCAGCTAATTTTTGTATTTTTAGTAGAGATGGGGTTTCACCATGTTGGCCAGGATGGTCTTGATCTCCTGAACTCGTGATCCGCCCGCCTCAGCCTCCTAAAGTGCTGGGATTACAGGCATGAGCCACTGCACCTGGCCAACTCTTTATTTTCTTCTAGGCCAGCAGGAACTTGTCACTCTGTCTTCTTTAGTTTGTGACTGATGGATTTGCCTGTTAAAAACACACATGATTAGGTCAGCCTCACCCAGGATGATCTCCCTTTTGAGTAACTCAGCTGATTAGGAACCTTAATTACATCTGTAGAAACTTATTTTGCCATATTACACAACCACGGGAGTGATAACCCATTGTCTCTGTAGATCTTGCCCATACTCCAAGGGGAGGAGATTACATAAGATGGTATGGTTTGGTGGTGTCCCTACCCAGATTTCATCTTGAATTGTAACTCCCATAATCATCACATATTGTGGGAGGTAATTGAATCATGGGGGCGGGTTTTCCCCATGCTGTTTGTGTGATAGTGAATAAGTTTCACGAGATCTGATGGTTTTATAAAGGGCAGTCCCCCTGTACACACCCTCTTGTCTGCTGCCAAGTAAGACGTGCCTTTCCTCCTCCTCCACCTTCCACCATGATTGTGAGGCCTCCCCAGCCACGTGGAACAATGAGTCCATTAAACCTCTTTTTCTTATAAATTTCCCAGTCTTGTATTTGTCGTTATTAGCAGTGTGAGAATGGGCTAATACATAAGATCATGAGTCACTGACAGTGATTTGAGAATTCTACCCACCACAGTTCCTTGTAGAAAAAGGATGATAATACCACCTATCTAATAATATTGTTGTGAATATTATATCGCATGATCTAGAATAAATGCTTGTCATGGAAAAATCATGTGGAGTTAGCATTCAACTCTAAAATATATGTTTGTTTTAATGATATTAACTGTTTTCCCCCTCTGAAAAAAATAATTCTGAACAAAATGGATATTCCAAGAACAGGTACCAAATTTATCCTGCCTCTTTTTAAATTCCCTGACACATCAATGTGTTTAAATATCCCTGTTGAGAATTACAGCCCTAGAGCAGTAGAGCAGAGGTCTCCTAAGCTTTTTATCTCCCTTATTATATATCATAATCAGGAAAATATTTAGCATATTTTTAACATCTGTATAATTATTGATAATTTACATGCATGTACTATAGTATTATATATTAAATACGTGGAAAAACATATCAAACTGGGAACTTTTAAAGGATGCAATGGAAAATAAATATGATTAGAAGTTCTAACATTTTTTGCCTGTGCCCCAGTGGATCATTTTGTAAAATCCCTGGTGTAGACGCTTCCTTTTGGAGATCGCTAACCTAAAGGATGTGGTATAAATTGTACCAGCCATCACCTACCTTCCTGGCCCCATCCCATTTTGTAAGGAAGGTGTTTTGGTGCATGGCAAGGCATACAGAGCTGTAGGGGAACCTCTCTTTACACTTTTCATAGCACAAGAAGTAAACCTTGTGGGGAGAAGGATCAAAGATATACAAAAAAACTCCTCCCTTCTTTCTCTCTCCTTTTTTTTTTTTTTTTTTTTTTTTTTTTTTTTTTGTTGCTGTGAAGGGCAAAAAAGGCCCAGAGTGGAGACTAGGGGAGGAATCCCAACAATTAATGAACATGTACTTTGTGTCAAGTTCTGTGCTAGGTAGCTATTAGAATTCCTGTTTGACACATGATGGACATGGAGGAAAATGGATCCACAGAGAAGTAATAAAACTGAGCCTAGCTCTACCCAGTGGAGTTAGGATGCTAACTTCAGTTTCATTCCAGTGTCTTGAGTTTTAACCATTGTATGATTTTTGAAAAGATTAAAGAAGGAGTGTGTGGGATGGGCATGGTGGCTCACACCTGTAATCCCAGCACTTTGGGAGGCCAAGGCAGGTGGATCACCTGAGGTCAGGAGTTTGAGACCAGCCTGGCCAACATGGCAAAACCCCGACTCTACTAAAAATATAAAAATTAGCTGGGTGTGGTGGTGCACACCTATAGTCCCAGCTAGTTGGGAGGTTGAGGCAGGATAATCGCTTGAACTCAGGATGCAGAGGCTGCAATGAGCCGAGTTCATGCCGTTGCACTCCAGCCTGGGTGACAGAGGGAGACTCCATCTCAAAAAAAAAAAAAAATTATATGACCCCTTTAAGAATAGATAGGGAGCTAGAGCTATCAGATACTCCATTCTACTTCTCTATAGTTTGCAGGCTGAAGTTGAGCCAGAAGATTCTCTTGCCGAAAGGGTCTTCAGAAATCACCTAGATCAGGGATTGAAAAACTATGGTTTGAGGGCCAAATCCAGCCTGCTTCTTATTTTTGTTAATAAAATTTTCTTGGGACACAGCCAGTCTCATTCATTTACATATAATCTATAGTTGCTTTCATACTACAACAGCAGAATTGAGTAGTTTTGACAGAGAACATATGACCTTCAAACTGAAAATATTTACTCTGTGGCTCTTTGCAGGAAAAGTTTGCTGACCTCTGATCTAGTCCGGAGGTCTTCAAGCTATTTTGATATGCACACGCAAAAACATTAAACACACATCCTTTAACCTACGTATGTATATTTGTTTACTTACAAAGTATTTAAAGGTACTACCATTCTAATACATTTTCCATCATAAAACATTTACCAGAAAAAGAAATATTAAAATGAGTTGAAAGTAAAGAGAAGGTCTAGTATTGTCTTCTAGCATCCCTCAGGGTTGTTTTGTCCTTTCTTTCATCAAGAGATATGAAAACTGATCCAGAAAATGATTCTTAAACTTGATGCCATAAGGTGTTCCATAAATAATAAAAGAATTATGTCCAACGATATGAATTAAAATTCAGTGAAGCCCTGAATTTCTCACATTTGTCCCTCTGCTATATTGTATTTATATGACAGATTTCATTAAAAAGAGAGTTTTGTTGCTAAAAATTGTTTCAAAATGGACCAGAATCCTGTTTTCCGTCATGATAGAATAACTGGAAGTGGACTTGTCCTCCCACTGTAAACTACTAGAAAATAAGATGAAATATATGAAACTGTTTTTAGACATTGGGCAGCAGGCAGTGTAGGGTTATGATCCCTAAGAAACGTGAAACAAACATGTGAGTCTCAGCCTGGTCTTGGCTTTCTGCTTGGAGGCACTATCTTGACTACCTTGTATGGTGGTCTTGCTGAAATAGAGATTAGGATTGGAGTTCAGGGAGGCTGCAGTGTCTGGTATTTATGATACATAGAACCAGTGAGGAAGGAGAAATGCAGAGAGCTCCTACATAGAGATCTATTCAAGTCAGTTAGTGAATACTAAGCTATGTGTGTAGGGTGAAACTCCATGAATCTGGCCATAGAATGGCAAGCTATAAGCTGATGAATTCTCAGAGTTCACGCAGGGCCAGAGATATATGAGTAGTGACCAGCCAGAGTGGAAGAGCTCATTGGACACTCAGGGTATTCCTTAGAGATCCAAAGGGATCATGCCTTAGTAGTAGGCTGGGGTAGCCATAGAGACTATTACGTATGTGGCCTGACACAGTTGAATTTTTAAAAATTCAACACCTGTGAAAAATAGGGGAAAAATTTAAAAAAATAAGAAAGGGAAGGTAAACTTGAAGTAATGTATCTACCTGCCAGAAAAGATCTCATATTCTTTAAAGGAAAACAGTATAATTTAATCCAATAATAAAAGACAATCCCACATACAAAGAAACAGGAAAAAAAAATTAGGCTATAGAAATAGACCTAGGAATGACAGAGATGATGAAATTATCAGACACGGACATGAAAAAAACTATAATAAATATGCTCATGGATTTAAAGGAAAATATGAACATAATAAGGAGAGTAAGATATAAAAATGAATCAGATGAAACTTCTAGAAATAAAAAATGCAATATCTTAAATGAAAAATTTACTGGATGGGATTAACAATAGATTAGGCACTGGAAAAACATCAAATGAACTTGAAGGCATAGCAATTGAAATTTTCTAACCCAAATCAAAAGAAAGAAAAAAAATGACAAAAAAATGAATAGAGTCTCAATGACATGTGGCTCTTGATATTGTGAGACACTATCAAATGGTATAGCATGAGTGAAATGGAGTCCCAGTAGACAGAAGCAGGATCAGAAAAAATATTTAAAGATGTAATAATTGAAAATTTCCAAACTTGTTTAAAACTATAAACCCATGGGTCCAAGAGATTCCGCAAACCTTAAGCAATATAAGCACAAAAAACACACCCAAGGTACGTCCAAATCAAATTGCTGAAAACCAGTGATAAGGGAAAAACAATCTTAAAAACAGTCAGGAAAAAAAAAAAGAGACATTATGTGCAGGGAAGTAGGGATAAGAATGACTGCAGGATCCTGACAGAAAGAAAGCAAACCAGAAGACAATAGAATTGCGTTTTTAATGTACTAAAAAAATTAAAATCTACTGTTACACATTGAATGTGTGTCTCCACCCCCTCCACCCCCAAATCATATGTTGAAGCCTTAAATGCCAGTTTGGCTGTATTTGGAGTAAGGAAACAGTTAAGATTAAACAATGTAATAAGAGTAGGGCTCTGTTCTGATGTATTAGTGTCTTTGTAAGAAGAGATACCAGAGAGCTCGCTCTTTCTCTCTCTACCATGTAAGAACACAATGAGACAATGGCTGTCTGTAAGCCAGTAAGAGAGCCTTCACCAGAAACTGACCATGCTAGGCCTTGATCTGGGGCTTATAGCTCCAGAACTGTGAGAAAATAAATTTCTGTTGTTTAAGCCGTACAGTCTATGATATTTTGTTACGGCAGCCCAACCAGACTAGTATACACACCAAATCTCAAACTCTCCCAATACAGAATTTCATACCCACTGAAAATATTATTCAAATATGAAAACAGAATAAAGATATTTTCTGAAGAACAAAAGCTGAGCAAATTTATCATTAATAAACATATATACAAGATTTATTAAAGGAAGTCATTCAGGTTGAAAGGAAATAGGACTGATGAGATCTACACAAAGTAATGAGCAGCTCCAAAAATGATAACCATGTAGGTAAATATAAAATACTTTTTCTCTTCTCTTAAAAAGTGTCTTTAAGAGATAGCTGACCATTCCAAGGAAAAGTAATAGCAATGTATTCTGTGGTTTATAACATATGTAGAAATAAGATGTTTAGTAACTGTTAGAAAATATGAGAGGGACAGATGAAACTATATAATTGCAAGGTTCTTATGTGAAGTAATATAATATTATTTGAAGTTAAATTGTAATAGTTTAAAGATTCATGTTGTAAAATCTACAGAAATGACTGAAAAAATCAAACAAAGAAATCATTTATAATAATAAGCCAACAGTGGAGATAAAAATGGAATATTACTGAATACCCAATACAAAAAAAGACAGAAAGGGAAAAATGGAAACAAAGAGCAGATGAGACAAATAGAAAAAAATAGCAAAATCATAGATTTAAAAGATAGTCATATTGATAATTACACTAAATATACAGGGTCTAAGTGCTCGAATAAAAAGGCAGAGATTGTCAGAATGGATACAAAGAGCAAGACCCAAATCTATGCTGTCTACAAGAAATTCACTTGAAATGTAAACTCAGAGATAGGTTAAAAGTGAAAGGATGAAAAATGACATGCCATATGAACACTATGCATAAGAAAGCTGGAGTAGCTATATTAATATCAGACTAAGTGGACTTCAGAAGGAAGGATACCATTAAGAATATAGAATCACATTTCATAATAGCAGAAAGGTCAATTAATCAAGAAGGTACAACAGTCCTTATTATTTCCATACCTAATAACAGTTTAAAATATATGAAGCAAAACTTGATGAAAGTGAGAAGAAAAATCCACAAATCCACAACTATAATTGGAGAGTTCAGCACTCCTCTCTCAGTAATTGAAAGAACAAGCAGACAGAAAATCAGTAAGGATTTAGAGACCTGAACAACATATCAGTCAACTTGACCTTATTGGCATTTACAAAATATTTTACCCATCAATAGCAAAATATACATTTTTCCAAGTGCACATGGAACATTCACCAAGATTGGCATAAATTAAGCTGATATGTTTTCTGAACACAGATAATTAAATGAGAAATCAATAACACAAAGCTGTCTGGGATATACCCAAGTGTTTGGAAAGTACATAATATATTTCTAAATATCCGATGAGTCAAAACATAAATTGCAAGAAAAGTTATAGAATGCTTTGCATTAAATGAAAAAGCACATAACATATCAAAATTTGTATGATGCATTAAAGCAATGCTCAGAGGGGAATTTACAGTTTAAAATGCTTATATTATAAAACCAATTCCTTCTTATGCTCCGATTTTGCAGGTAAGAAAATTGAGATGCAAGCATGTTGAGTGATATACATAAGGCTGCATATTGGTTAAGGTAAGACTTAGAATGAGACTCTTCTGGATTAGTTCTCTTTCTCTTTTACTGTGCCTTTTAATCTTATTTTTTTGGACTGTGCTCAGTGTTTTCAGAACAATGTGTCCACTCAGTGTTTTGTCACCTCACTCTCTGCTGAACTCTAACCCTGAGTCATTATTCTTTATAGTCATTAATAAGCATGTTGGGAGGATGCAGAATGTGTTGGTGTAAAGCAGATGCTAAGAAATCTCAGGTCAGGAGAAACAGACTGGCAGTGTGGAAGAGGTGGATGCTGCTGTGCCCTCGAAGGCATCAGAAGCAAGGGGACATGGAAGAGAGCATCTGTGGAGCACCTACTCTGTGCCAAGTGCAGTGCAGATTGATTTCACAGCAACTCTGATGTAGTTCAGTAACCTGACTAACATTATGCAATGAGTGTCAGCTCTTGAATTTGAACTTTGTACTGTACAAATCAAAAAACCCATGCTTAGGAGGGGTTGAATTATTGCTCCTTCTATTGGGCTTATGTTCAATTCAGACTCCAGAACTCTTATCCATTGCAGCACATTTATTCTACTTCAGGCAGGGAACAGACACAATTATGCTTTTCCTTTTCTGACAATTAACCACCTTTCCTGGTTTTTATCCCCAGCTGTGCTCCTGAGGGTCTTTCCTCTCAGGAATCTATTCTCGCTGCATTACCAACACTGTGCTTGCTACAAGTCAAAGTTGCCTCACTCCATTTCAGTAAGAATTTTTCTTTTATCAGGCAGTAATCCTCTTCCTTTTTGGGAGCTGCCAAAAAAGGCCATAATCTCAATCAAAAAAAGATTTTGTGTTTGAAGTCAAAGCCGGCCAGTGCAGCCCATGGGGATTATCGGGCAGGGACCCTGTGAGAACATCCAGCCTGCTGGCCTTGTGCATGCTGAGCTTCCTGCATGTCCACAGCTGCAAGTCAGTGTGTGCATCTGGGTCACTCACCTGCAGAGCTGGACACCCTCAGGGGCCTGGCTGTGCCCTGTCAGAAATTACCCTCATAGACATCCTGTGCCTCCAGATGTGTCATGGGACATGGAAAAGGGGCAAGTCCAACTTCTTTGGATGGCTTTTCTAGCAATGCTCTGATCCCTACACATAGATTTAAATTGGTGCGAGCAATAAAGCATAATGTGGCCTCTGGGCCAGGCCTGTTAGTGTTTGAACTCTGATTCTACAACTTACTAGATATGTGACTTGGGCAGGTCATTCATCTTGCAGCACTTTAGTTTTCTCATTTACAGAATGGGCATAAGACTAGTCCTTACAAGCCAGGCATGGTGACTCACACCTGTAATCTCAGCACTTCTGGAGGCTGAGGCAGGTGACTCACCTGAGCCCAGGAGTTCAAGGCCAGCCTGGGCAACATGGTGAAACCCTGTCTCTCCAAAAAAATACAAAAAATTATCTGGGCATGGTGGTGAACACCTGTAGTCCCAGCTACTTGGGAGACTGAGGTGGGAGGATCACTTGACCCTCAGGAGGTTGAGACTGCAGTGAAGCAGGATGACACCACTGTACTCCAGCCTGGGTGACAGACTGAGACCCTGTCTTAAAAAAAAAAAAAAAAAAAAAAAAAAAAAGAATAGTTCTTTCCTCATGAAGCTGACTCCAGAATGCTTATCCATTGCAGCACATTTATTCCACTTTCAGGCAGGGAACAGACACAATTATGCTTTTCCTTTTCTGACAGTTATGCTTTTCCTTTTCTTTCCTGGTTTTTATCCCCAACTGTGCTCCTGAGGTTGTGAGAATTAAATGAGTATACACACACACACATACACATACACATACACATACACATACATATATATCACAAAGAAGAGTATTGTTGGCTTATAGTAGTATGGTATAAACATTAGTGAACATTATTTTTCAGGTTTTCACTAGGAATCTTTGTTGAACAGGGCCAGTGTTTCCCTCTTCTGTGTTGTTCTGCAATCTTGGTTGCAAGTGACAGAAACTGAACTCCGCCTGGCTTAGGCCAACATGGAAGTTCAAGGGTAGGTCTAGCTTCAGGCATGCCTTGTTTAGAATCACATCTAACATTTGCAAATGTGAAGTAATAGTCCCGGAAAAAATGGAGTTAGTGGCCTCATTCAGAGATTTTTTTTTTTTTTTTTTTTTTTTTTGAGATGGAGTCTCACTCTGTCACCCAGGCTGAATTGCAGTGGCACGATCTCGGCTCACTGCAACCTCCACCTCCTGGGTTCAAGTGATTCTTCTGCCTCAGTCTCCTGAGTAGCTAGGACTACAGGTGCATGCCACCAGACCAGGCTAATTTTTGTATTATTAGTAGAGACGGGGTTTCACCATTATTGACCAGGCTGGTCTTGAACCCCTGACCTTGTGATCTGCCTGCCTTGGCCTCCCAAAGTGCTGGGGTTACAGGGGTGAATCACCGTGCCTGACCCAGAGATTTTTTAAGGACTTAAATATGAGATGACTTTATTTTTGAGGCATAGTTTTTTGGAGAAAAACACCTAAATATCCAGGTACATTTAAACACCTAAATATTCCTCTTCTAATATTGATTCATTCATTTCTTCAATCAGTCAACAAATATTTACTAAACACCAAGTGTGTGCCTCTCTGTTCATAACACAGGAGACAAAGCATTAACATCCCAGACGAAAAGCCCTGGCCTCCTCGAGGGACTTATATTGTAGTGCTGGTGGGAAGAGAGGGACTATCAATACAATAAATGAGTAAATAATAGAATATGTTAAAAGAACATCATAACTACAAAAAAAGAAACGAAGAAAAAAATAGGGATGGCAGTTGGCGAGTGCTGGGATTTGTTTCACATGAAAGTGTAGATTTTAAAAGTTACTCATGGCATGGCATGGATAAGAGAGGATATTTTATAGACTGGAGACCAGCCTAATGTTCAGAAACTGACGACAGTTACCCTTCTCTAGAGGGAGACACAAAGCCCAGGATTTTCGAGAGATCTTGAACTTTTAAGTACTTTTGTCATTGCCCTCCACAGCGCTCTAAGGATACAAATGACCCCAAGCTTTTCCAGTTAATAATGTGGCAAGACAAAGTGTTCTCACAGGGAGGCAGTGAGGGTCCTGGTGAGAGGGCCTGAGTGTGACATTCACATGTCACCATGCCTCATGTGAGCTGAGAAGCCAGGAGGGAGCCAGCCTGCAGGGCACGCCCGAGGAAGGGTTCTTCCCTTTCATTTGTGACCCAAAAGCTCTGAATCCCCTGAGAGCTATTGCATGGAGGCATCAGCTCCAAGTGCCGCTGGAGGCAAGGAAGCCAGTACAATGTCTGTCCTCATTCAGGCTGGTGTTGGAAGCAAGACAGGAAACACCACTCTGCTCTTGAGTAAACACCCTTCTTCTGCTGGGAACGAGTTTCAGGCTCTGCCTGCATGGCCACAAGCCTGGAAAAACGGTATGAAGTTACTACTCCTTGCATCTTTTGAGGTCCAGGGCACCCACTGGGCTGTGCTTTTCTTTTTTCTTTTTTTTTCCATTTATTATTTATTTGTTTATTTGTGTTTAAGTTCTGTGCAGAACATGCAGGTTTGCTACATAGGTATACATGTGCCATGGTGGTTTGCTGCACCCATCAACCCATCATCTACATTAGGTATTTCTCCCATGGGCTGTGCTTTTCTGCAAAATCAAGGTCACTGTGACCACAGAGACATGAACCCCAACATCTACACACCCTTATCCAAGAGACTGTGTGGGGAGGTGGGCTTAGGGTCTCCCTTGAGGAGTCGATTGGCTCTGTGTCTCTGGCTCTGTCTGTCTGTTGGTTCCTTGCTGCATGCCTGCCTGAGCATGCTCATCCCAGGAGTCAGAAGGCAGTAGGATACTCAGGCCTCTCTCTGAGCCACACACTCCACAGCAGTGATGTATTAGGCTCAAGGGAAGATCTGGGTGAAGTACAACCTTGGCAACTATTCTGTAACTGTTCTTCCTGTGTAAGGGCAGGACTGGTTTCTGGGCCAGGATCTGAGCAATCCTGTACTGCTGAGAAGCACGATTAAGAGACTGAGGGTAGAGACCTATCCTACAAGAAGAGACTCATGGATAGAATGACATTTTGGAGTCAGGCAGAAATGGGCTCAATCCCGTTGTATTAGTCCATTTTCATGCTACTGATAAAGACATATCTGAGACTGGGGAATTTACAAAAGAAAAAGGTTTAATTGGATTTATAGTTCCACGTGGCTGGGGAGGTCTCATAATCCTGGTGGAAGGCAAGGAGGAGCAAGTCATATTTTACGTGGAGTGGCAGCAGGCAAAGAGAGAGAGCTTGTGCAGGGAAACTTCCATTGGTTTAAAACCATCAGGTCTTGTGAGACCCATTCACTATCTCCAGAACAGCACAGGAAAGACCTGACCTCATGATTTGATCATCTCCACTGGGTCCCTCCCACAAATTGTGGGAATTATGGGAACTACAAGATGAGATGTGGGTGGGGACACAGAGCCAAACCATGTCATTCTGCTCCAGCCCCTCACAAATCTCATATCTTCACATTTCAAAACCAATCATGCCTTCCCAACAGTCCCCCAAAGTCTCAACTCATTTCAGCATTAACTCAAAAGTCCACAGTCCAAAGTCTCCTCAGAGGAAAGACAAGTCCCTTCTGCCTATGAGCCTGTAAACTCAAAAGCAAGTTAGTTACTTCTTGTATACAATGAGGGTATAGGCATTGGGTAAACACAGCCATTCCAAATGGGAGAAATTGGCCAAAACAAAGAGGCCATAGGCCCTATGCATATCTGAAATCCAGTGGGGCAGTCAGATCTTAAAGCTCCAAAATGATCTCCTTTGACTCCATGTCTCACATCCAGATCATGCTAATGCACGATTCCCATAGACTTGGGCAGCTCTTCCTCTGTGGCTTTGCAGGATACAGCAACCCCTCCTGGCTGCCTTCATGGGCGAGTGTTGAGTGTCTGTGGCTTTTCCAGGTGCACAGTGCAAGCTGTCAGTGGATCTACCATTCTGGGGTCTGGAGGATGGTGGCCCTTTTGTCACAGCTCCACTAGGTGGTACCCCAGTAGGGACTCTGTGTGTGGGCTCCAACCCCACATTTCCCTTTTGCACTGCCCTAGCAGAGGTTCTCCATGAGGACACTGACCCTACAGCAAACTTCTGCCTGGGCATCCAGGTGTTTCCATACATCTTCTGAAATCTAGGCAGAGGTTCCCAAACTTCAGTTCTTGACTTCTGTGCACTCGCAGGCTCAATACCACATGGAAGCTGCCAAGGCTTGATGCTTGTACTCTGCCGAGACCTGCTTGGTCAGGGAGACCCTAACCTAGAGGAATTAAAGACACACACACAGACATATAGAGGTGTGAAGTGGGAAATCAGGGGTCTCACAGCCTTCAGAGTTGAGAGCACTGAACAGAGATTTACCCACATATTTATTAACAGCAAGCCAGTCATTAGCATTGTTTCTATAGATATTAAATTAACTAAAAGTATCCCTTATGGGAAACGAAGGGATGGGCCAAATTAAAGGAATAGGTTGGGCTAGGTAACTGCAGCAGGAGCATGTCCTTAAGGCACAGATCGCTCATGCTATTGTTTGTGGCTTAAGAATACCTTTAAGTGGTTTTCCGCTCTGGGCGGGCCAGGTGTTCCTTGCCCTCATTCCTGTAAACCCACAACCTTCCAGCGTGGGCGTTAGGGCCATTATGAACATGTTACAGTGCTGCAGAGATTTTGTTTATGGCCAGTTTTGGGGCCAGTTTATGGCCAGATTTTGGGGGCCTGCTCCCAACAGTACCCTCTGAAGCCACAGTCTGAGCTCTACACTGGCCCCTTTTAGCCACACTTGGAGCTGCTGGGATGTAGGGCACCAAGTCCCTAGGCTGCATATAGCACCAGGAACCTGGGCTGGGCCCACAAAATCACTTTTTCCTTCTAGGCCTCCGAGCCTGTAATGGAAGGGTCTGCTGTGAAGGTCTCTGACATGCCCTGGAGACATTTTCCCCATTGTCTTGGAGATTAACATTCGGCTCCTCATTACTTATGCAAATTTCTGCAGCCAGCTTGAATTTCTCCTCAGAAAATGGGATTTTTCTTTTCTACTCCATTGTCAGGCTGCAAATTTTCCAATCTTTTATGCTCTGCTTCCCTTATAAAACTGAATGCATTTTTTTTTTTTTGAGACAAAGTCTCACTGTGTCGCCCAGGCTAGAGTGCAGTGGCGCTATCTCAGCTCACTGCAAGCTCTGCTTCCCAGGTTCATGCCATTCTCCTGCCTCAGCCTCCCGAGTAGCTGGGACTACAGGCGCCCACCACCACACCCAGCTAATTTTTTGTATTTTTAGTAGAGACGGGGTTTCACCATGTTAACCAGGATGGTCTCGATCTCCTGACCTTGTGATCTGCCCGCCTCGGCCTCCCAAATTGCTGGGATTACAGACGTGAGCCACCACACCCGGCCAAAACTGAATGCTTTAACAGCACCCAAGTCATATCTTGAATGCTTTGCTGCTTAGAAATTTCTTCTGCCAGATACCCTAAATCACCACTCTAAAGTTCAAAATTCCACAAATCTCTAGGGCCAAGACAAAATGCCACTTGTCTCTTTTCTAAAACATAACAAGAGTCACCTTTGCTCTAGTTCCCAACAAGTTCCTCATCTCCATCTGAGACCACCTCAGCCTGGATTTCATTGTCCATATCATCATTAGCATTTTGGTCAAAGCCACTCAACAAGTCGCTAGGGAGTCCCAAACTTTCCCATATTTTCCTGTCTTCTCCTGAGCCCTCCAAACTGTTCCAACCTCTGTTTGTTACCCAGTTCCATAGTTGCTTCCACATTTTTGGATATCTTTTCAGCAGTGCCCCAGTCTACTAGTAGCAATTTACCGTATTGGTCCATTTTCACACTGCTGATAAAGACATACCTGAGACTGGGCAATTTACAAAAGAAAGAGGTTTAATTTGACTTACAGTTCCACATGGCTGGGGAGGCCTCATAATCATGGTGGACAGCAAGGAGGAACAAGTCACATCATACATGGATGGCAGCAGGCAAAGAGAGCTTGTTCAGAGAAACTCCCGTTTTTTAAAACCATCAAATCTCATGAGACCCATCCACTATCACGAGAACAGCACGGGAAAGACCCACCCCCCATGATTCAATCATCTCCCACCGGGTCCTTCTCACAACATGTGGGAATTATGGGAGCTACAAGATAAGATTTAGGTGGGGACACAGAGCCAAACCATATCACTCATGCAGTCTGTAAATTACTTAATCTGAATCTCCTTCTCTGTATAATGAAAATAATGGAACTTGTCTTGCAGGACAGTTGTGATGCAATTGAGTAGTTATATGTATATAAAATCAAACACAGCATTATGCAATGCACAGATGTGCATTGCAGACACTATAAGAGAAATAATAACAGGAACATTATTATTATTAAATGTTGAGGTATTAACCAGGGTAGATATTCATGTCTCCTCCCTGGACACCCTGTCAGACATAGATGCTGGTTTGGATGCCCCATGATGTAACTCATGGTGGCATTTGCTGTGCAGCAAGGCAACAACGAATAGTGGAAGAGACACCAGATTCAGAATCACAGGGTCTGAATTGAAATGCCAGCCAGCTCTGCCACAGACTAATTTTGTAACCCTAGGCAAACAAGCTGACTCTTAAAAATTGATATAAACTCATACATGAAAATAAATATTTAGAATATAGTAATAATGTATAAAGGACAATAAGCTGAGTACAACCACTCAGATCATCATCACCAATACCTCCAAAGACACCTGTGAATCCTTTCCTCCTCTTATCCCTCCCCACTGTCTGCTCTGTGCCATCCTCCTCCTCCCCCTTGAAGTTTAAATTTATCATTCCTTGCAAGTAAGCTTTTTTTTTTTTTTTTTTTTTTTGAGATGGAGTCTCGCTCTCTCGGCAGGCTGGAGTGCAGTGGCGTGATCTCGGCTCACTGCAACCTCTGCCTCCTGGGTTCAAGTAATTCTCTGCCTCAACTTCCCGAGTAGCTGGGATTACAGGTGCCTGCCACCATGTCTGGCTAATTTTTGTATTTTTAGTAGAGACGGGGTTTCACCATCTTGGCCAGGCAGGTCTTGAACTCCTGACCTCGTGATCCGCCTACTTCAGCCTTCCAAAGTGCTGAGATTACAGGCATGAGCCACAGCTCCTGGCTGCAAGTAAGCTTCTTAATCTCTCATACATTTGTTAAGAAGACTGAATGAACCTTGTGTATGGACAGTGCAATGCAGATGGCCAAGCCAGTTTTTAAATCTGTAATAATTATCTTGCTACAGACTGGAGACTCGACACCCACTCATTGCTTTTTTTGCAGCAAGACACCCCAATTTTAATAGTCAAGTGCATTTTATTTTCTTGCTGTGTGCCCCATTGCAGGGTGGCAACTCCTATAAGTCCCATCTCATCTGTTTTGGGGAACTGAGAAATCAAGTCAAAATTTTAAAAATTGTGTCTGAAGTGAACTGGCTCTCCTTTAGCCCAGGGTGTCCTGCTGGAGAAGATGGCATGAACTTCATCATCTGCTCTTAGGGACATTTGCCTCCATGGTTCAGAGGCCTCTGTTAATTCCTCAGATGTGGGCTGTGTGCTGAGGAGGACTGGCTCTCCATATTTAATCTTTCTTATGTTGCTACTCTACTTTCTCATGCAGCAAACCTTTATTGTGTGCCAAATATGTTCTACAGTTGACCCTCGAACTGCAAGGGTCCACTTATATGCACTTTTTTTTTTTTTTTGAGATGGAGTCTCGCTCTGTCACTCAGGCTGGTGTGCAGTGGCGTGATCTCGGCTCACTGCAACCTCTGCCTCCAGGGTTCACGTCATTCTCCTGCCTCAGCCTCCCGAGTAACGGGTACTACAGGCACCCACCACCACGCCTGGCTAATTTTTTTTTGGTTTTGTTTTTTGTTTTTTTAGTAGAGACGGGGTTTCACCATATTAGCCAGGATGGTCTTCATCTCCTGACCCCGTGATCTGCCCGCCTTGGCCTCCCAAATTGCTGAGATTACAGGCATGAGCCACTGCGCCCGGCCAGTATATGCACATTTTTTTTCCAACTAAATGACGATTGAAAATCAAGTATTCTTGGGATGGGAAAGTCCTGATAGGGAGGGCTGACTTTTTGTAGCTATGGTTCTTCAGGACCTACTTCAGGACTTGAGTAGCGGGAACTGTGGTATACACAGGGATCCTGGAACCAAGCCCCCATGTATACCAAAGGACAACTGTAGTTGGAAGTAGTTTTGAAGTACAGTTTTTTCCCCCAAGGAGCTCCTGGTTTTGTGGGGCAAGGGCATACATGGATAGTTATGCCACTGTGTACTCTGTGCATGTGCCAATTATGCTTCAGGTGCTTGGGGACAACAGGGGAAGAGGACTAAAGCTGAGTGGTTAAGCAGTGTTTCCCAAAAGGGATACCTGAGCTGGGTTCTGAAGGTAGAGTAGGAGTTGGCGAGGCCAAGATGGCGGGGATGGGCATGGGAAGCTGAAGAAATAGCAATGCAAAAATGTACTCCTCAAAGAGAACAGCGTGTTCCTCCCTGAGTCTTTCTCACCTTGGCCAGTGGTGCTTTTTCTTCCAGGATGCTGGACACTGAGGAGTCCTCCTGGGCATTGTTGCTTCCCTCATACTCCCTGTCAACACATCTTATGTGCAGTCACACTATCTTCCAAGGGACTCTCAGGACTTCCCCTTCTTTCCATATCTATGGGAACCATGCTTGCCAGCTACGCTCCCGCTTAGCCTTCTGGGATAGTCTCCTAACTGCTCTGCTCAAATCCATCTTTGCCCCCATCCGATCTATTCTCCATCAGCCAGAGTGAACTTTCTAACAGTAATCTGTGCACTCTTTTGCTTAAATCTTTCTTTTTTACTTTACTTTTCTTTTGAGATGGAGTTTCGCTCTTGTTGCCCAGGCTGGAGTGCAGTGGTACGATCTCTGCTCACTGCAACTTCCACCTCCTGGGTTCAAGCAATTCTCCTGCCTCAGCCTTCCGAGTAGCTGGGATTACAGGTGTGCACCACCATGCTCAGCTAATTTTGTATTTTTAGTTGATGCAGGGTTTCTCCATGTTGGTCAGGCTGGTCTCAAACTCCCAACCTCAGATGATCCGCCTGCCTTGGCCTCCCAAAGTGATGGAATTATAGGCGTGAGCCACCGTGCCTGGCCCTGCTTAAACCTTTCAAAGGCATCTTATAATCCTCAACATACCCTACTAACGTCTGTACTGCAGGCTTTGGGACCCTCATGGACAACCTCTACCCACCCTCCACTAGCACCTCCTGCCTCTCCTCTTGCTCTTCATAGCAGCTGTGCTGGCCATTTTCTCTGGTGTCTTTTGGGTTTTCTCTCTCTCTCTCCTCTTTTCAATGGGACATTATACATTTATTTGTTATGTGTGTAATTTAAGTCTCACAAAAGAAAATAATATGAAGAAGCAATATACAGAGATAATGTCTAAAACTAATAAAAGAAATTAAAACACAGATTGAAAGATTCTTTAAAATCCCAAGAAGGATGTATACGAAGAATATAGAAATTTGTCAGATGACCTAAAATTATGGCTGGCATGTAAACAGAAACAATGGAAGCCAAAAGGCAATGGAATGATACCATCAAAGTGCTTTTTAAAAATAAAGTAATTTCAACTTTTATTACAGATTAAAGGGTATACGTGTAGGTTTGTTACATGGGTAAATTGCATGATGCTGAGGCTTGGGGTTTCAATAATCCTGTCACCCAGGCAGTATGCTTACTTCCAGGTTTTCTCTTTGTCTTTGATTTGTCATCATGCTGGCAGTTTTTAAGCCCTCAAAAGCGTCCAGCTCATTCCTTTCTCAATATCTTAGCACCTGCTATCCACTCTGCTCCCACTTGCTGTCTGGCCAATTTACACTCAACTTTCAGGTCTCAGCTTAAGTACACTTTCCTCTGAGAAGTCTTCTCTGAGCCTCCATTATTTAAAAATTTCTTCTCCTAGCACATTGTAATTTTTCCTCCTACAGAACTTATCATAATTGGTAAATTAAGCATCTACATGTTTGTTTGTGTCTTTTACCACACTCTAAGTTCCAAGGAGGCAAAGATTATGGCTCATTCATCACTCTATACTCAATGTCTATCACAGTACACAGCACATAGTAGGTCTCAATATGTGCAAATTGGATGAATGGATAGAAGGAAGGAGAATCGTAGGGGAAACACATACATCTGGGTTAGAACAGTCGGGGAAGGTCTGTGTATTAGTTTCCTATTCATGCATAGCAGTTACCACAAATGTAGCAGCTTTAAACAACGCACCTTTTCTCACAGTTTTTGTGGGTCAGGAATCTGGCACAGCTTAGATGAGTTCCCTGCTCAGGTCTCAAAAGGCTACAATCAAGGTGTTGCCCACACTGTGGTTCTCATCTGGGGCTTAGAGTCCTCTTCCAAGTTCACTGTGGTTATTATTGTAATCAGTTACTGTGGTTGTAGGACAGGGTCTCAGCTACCTGATACTGCCTTTCTTTAGAGGCAGCTTACAATGTAGCTGTTTGCTTCCTTCTTTGATATTAGCAGGATAATCTCTCCGAGCATTGCTTTTTTCCTAAAATA